>NC_000015.10:90986732-91138247 GCF_000001405.40 Homo sapiens
AATAGTTCTAGATCTTGATGGCGATTATACAACAGTATACAATTGAAACTACCTGTAAAGCGAGTCTGTTTTACTGTGTATGAATTATACCTCAAATCTTTTCATTTTTTTAATGAAGTAAAATAAACAACTAAAAAATAGTTGTAAGGGGAAGAGGAAGGAAAAAAAAAACACTTTAGGCTGAGCAAATGCCACTAGATATGCAAATGTGTATCACTATGTGATTCCGTTGACAGAGAGTTCAAAAACAGGCAAAACTGGCCAGGCACGGTAGTTCACGCCTGTATTCCTAGCACCTTGCAAGGCCGAGGCAGGAAAACTGTTTGAGCCCAGGAGTTTCAGATCATTCTGGGCAACATAGTGAGACTCTGCGTCTTAAAAAAAAAAAAAAAAAAAAAATTAGCCGGGCACGGTGACGTATGCCTATAGTCCCAGCTACTCAGGAGGCTGAGGTGGGAGGATTGCTTGAGCCTGAGAGGATGAGGCTGCAGTGAGCTATGATCACTGCACTCCAAAGCAACACCCTATCTCAAAAACGAAAACAAAAAAAGCAAAAACAAAACCAGGCCAAACTAATCAATGCTTTCAGAAGTCAGGATAGTAGTTCTTTTGGCTCAGGGGAGGCAGTGACTGGTAGAGGGCTTCTGGGTTGCTGCTTACACAGGTGCATCAACTGTGAACAATTCACTGAGTTTACACTTGATTTCTGTACGTTTCTGAATGTATGTTATTCTTCAATTACCAAAAGCTTATTTTAACAAAAAATTATTTATCTAAAATACAAATTTAACTGGCTTCTGTATCTTATCTTTTAAGAACAGCTTACTTTAAAAATTATCACAATTAGTCTGCTTTACAGAACATTTAAAGAATAGAAATTTTTCTCCCTTTTCTTAGGTATAACAGGACAACTAAGACTGCCCTGGCACCAGAGAAACTACAATCTAGATGTGCTCTGCTTCCAGTCGGCCGAGAAGCCTGCAGCAAATCACCTAAACACTTAAGGTCTTTGTGTGCCATCCACACCCAACTGCAACTAGAGACTTTCATTAGCCCCTTTCTGTCTCAGAGCTTTCGGTGGTTCTACAAGTCACCAGCCTGGATCTCTAACAATGTGTCTCTCCAAAGCTGTTAATACATTCACATCCAAAATATCTCCAGCCACGAAATCCTAGTTTAGAGGTTGCCCGTCCTTGTTGAAGAAACATTTCTACACAAATACCTGTTGCCTATACCAGATGGCCATACCAATACCCAAATACTGACAAACGTTTAAAAGAATTTACGGTACTCCCTTCACTTTAGAAATGTTAACAGTTCAAGTCCAACAGAACTTAAAGGAAAAAAAGAGAAATGTTAACAGTAAGTAAGGCATTTATTTAACATAATCTCAACTAAAGTCCAACTAAAGAGCTTCCCCAGGCAAACACTCCTTTTGCACTTCATTTTGAAGACAAAAGAATGCACAAGTTAAAATCCTAATATTACCATTTTATTAAAAATAACTTTTAAGATCCAATCTGTGGCCAATATTCGATCTGGATGCAAAACCCTGGCTTCCAGACAGGCCAGCCAGGGGCACTGCTCTGAAGGTCATTACTTAAGTATCCCAGTCTCCTCAGTCTGACAGACCTACCCCTGCCCAGCCAATCTCCACATAACAGCTAGTTGTTCATAATAAATCCCATCAGATCCCCGCTTAACTACTCCCCTTCAAAGGCTCCACTGCCCTCAGGAAATAGTTCAACCACCTTCTGTAGAAAGGCCTTCTAAAACCTCTCTCCGAGTCTGTCTGCTAATCTCTCCCACTTGACACTCCCCAGGTCTCTGGCCAGCTGAACTTCCCGGGCATTTCCTGAACAATGCCCCTCAATAAACCACATGCAACTCTCATTTTCTGATGCCACCGCGCTTTGTACATTCAGTTCCGTCTATATGCCACCACCTCCTCTGGAGAGCTGTGGACTTGTCACTCACCATTCCCCCCAAGCCCCCTAGTAGACCATAAACTCAAGGGCAAGGACCACCACATCTTATTCATCTTCATTTTACCACACCCTAACTCACAGTAGTTGTTCAATAGATATAAAATGAATGGCCCTGAATTCCTCCCAAAGGGTCCTATGCTCCTAACCTACCTAACCTAATAGAGGTATTATGCACTCTGGATCCTGACGAAGGTTTACAAGCAGGGCTGCCTATCTCTGTAACACATCTAGAAGGTAAAGTGATCGTTTTTCTGAGTAAAAAAATCTAGCACAATGGGCAAAGAATCTGAATAGACATTTCTCCAAAGAAGATATAAAAATGGCCAATAAGCACATGAAAAGATGCTCAATATTAGTCATTAGGGAAATGCAAATCAAAACCACTTCATAGCCAACAGGATGGTATAATAAAAAAAAATATATAGCAAAAAGTATTGGTGAGAATCTAGAGGAACTAGAACCCTCAGACACTGCTTGTGGGCATGCAAGACGGTACAGCCTCTTTGGAAAATAGTCTGGTAGTTCCTCAATTGATTTTTTGTTTTTTGAGACAGGGCCTCACTGTCACCTGGGCTGGAGTGCAGTGGTGTGATCATAGCTCAACGCAGCCTCAACGCCCTGGGCTCAAGCAATTCTCCTACCTTAGTCTCCCAAGTAGCTGGGACCATAGACGTGCCATCGTGCTTGGCTAATTTTTTTTTTTTTTTTTTTTTTTAAGGTTTGCCATGTTGCTCAGGCTGGTCTTGAACTCCTGGGCCCAAGCAATCCTCCCACCTCGGCCTCCCAAAGTGTTGGGATAACAGACATGAGCCACTGCACCCGGCCCCTCAGTTTAACAGAGTTCATACAACTCAGCAATTTTATTACTGGGTATTTGCCCAAAAGAAATGAAAACACATTTATACAAAAACTACACAACTGTTTATAGCAGCATTACTTATAATAGCCAAAAAGTGAAAAAAAAAATACAAATGGCCATCAACTTATGAATGGGTAAATAAAATGTAGTATATAGGCATACAATGGAATATTATTTGGCAATAAACCTTGAAAACATTATGTTAAGTCAAAGAAGCAAGTCACAAAAGACCAGAGCTACGGTTCCGTTTTTATGAAATATCCAGAATAGGTAAAAAGTAGATTTGGGGTTTGTATGGTTTTTTGAGACAGGGTCTCCCTCTTTCACCTAGGCTGGAGTGCAGTAACATGATCATGGCTCACTGCAGCCCCAACTTCCTAGGCTCAGGTGATCCTCCCACCTGAGCCTCCGGAGTAGCTGGGACTACAGATGTGAGCCACCACACCCAGCTAACTTAAACAATAAAATTTTTTTTTAGGCCGGGTGCGGTGGATCACTCCTGTAATCCCAGCACTTTGGGTGCCAAGACCGGCGGATCACGAGGTCAGGAGTTTGAGACCAGCCTGGCCAATATGGTGAAACCCCGTCTCTACTAAAAATACAAAAATTAGCTGGGTGTGGTGGTGGGCACCTGTAATCTCAGCTACTCGGGAGGCTGAGGCAGGAGAATTGCTTGAATCCGGGAGGTGGAGGTTGCAGTGACCTGAGATCACGTCACTGCACTCCAGCCTGGGTGACAGAGTGAGACTCCATCTCAAAAAATAAAATAAAATAAAATAAAAAATAAAATAAATAAATAAATAAATAAATAATTTTTTTTTTTTTTTTAAGAGGTAGAGTCTCTCTATGTTGCCCAAGCTGTTCTTGAACTCCTGGGCTCAAGTAGTCCTCCCACCTTGGGCTCCCAAAGTGCTGGAATTATAGGTGTGCGCCACCTTGCCTAGCCGAAAAGTAGATTTGTAGTTGCGGCTGGGGAGAATTTGGACCATGGGGTGAAAGGGGATTGACTGCTAATGGGATTTTAAAGGGGTGATAAAAATGTTCTAAAATTGATTGCAGTGATGATTGCACAACTCTGAATATTCTAAAAATCACTGAATTATAATATACAATTTAAGTACATTGTATGGTATGTGGATTATACCTCAAAGCTGTTATTAAAAACATCTTGGCACATAATCTAAAACATTTTTGGTTTCTTTTTTTTTTCTTTTTTTGAGACAGAGTCTCAGTCTGGCACCCAGGCCGGAGTGCAATGGTGTGATCTCAGCTCACTGCAACCTCTGCCTTCTGGGATCAAGCGATTCTCCTGCCTCAGCCTCCTGAGTAGCTGGGACTACAGGCACACGGCACCACGCCCGGCTAATTTTTGTATTTTTAGTAGAGACGGGGTTTCACCATGTTGGTCAGGCTGGTCTCAAACTCCTGACCTCGTGATCCGACCGCCTCGGCCTCCCAAAGTGCTGGGATTACAGGCGTGAGCCACTGTGCCCGGCCCATAATCTGAAATGTTTTTGATTTGTGACTTAATTGAAAAACTTACAGATTTTTACTATGGCCGGGCGCGGTGGCTCGTGTGCAATCCCAGCACTTTGGGAGGCCAAGGCGGGCGGATCACCTGAGATCAGGAGCTCGAGACCAGCCTGGCCAACATGGTGAAACCCCATCTCTACTAGAAATACAAAAATTAGCTGGGCGTGGTAGTGGGTGCCTGTAATCCCAGATACTCAGGAGGCTGAGGCAGGAGAATCACTTGAACCCGGTGAACCCAGGAGGCGGAGGTTGCAGTGAGCTGAGATCATGCCATTGCACTCCAGCCTGGGCAACAGAGCAAGACTGTCTCCAAAAAAAAAAAGAAATAAAAATTTTACTAATATATAACGTATTTTATTTGGCCTGTTGGAAATGGGTGTTTGGAATTACCAAACACCCATTATTATTATTCTAGTTAGAGACACTTCCTGTAAGAGGATCATTTTCAAATTAAAAACTAACATTTCTCACTCTTCCTAACATTCAAATTGTACTGAACTTAATTTTTTTTTTAAACTTAAATCTTGTATCATCCTTGACACTTCTTTCTTATATGCCCGCCATTAGCATTATCTACACAAGACAGGCAGAATCTCACTCCTCCTGACCTCTGCTGCTACCACTACCACCCCCACCCTGGTCCAGGTCACCACCACCAACTTCTTGCTGTATGGCAGGGGCCTCTTAACTGGTCTCCCGGCTTCGAAGCTGGCCTCCTTAAGTCCATTGTCAACACAGGAGCCCCAAGTCCTAATCTTCTACTCAGAACCCTCCAACGACTTGCCATCTCACTCTAAGGAAAAGCCTCTGACTTTCCAAAGACCTATGGAGCCCCATTCCATCTGAAAGCCATTTCTTTTGACCTCAGTGCTCATTCTATTCCTGTCACAGCGACCTCCTTGCTCTTTCTGGAACATACCAGGCGCTATCTCCCCTTAGGGCACTTGGATTTGCTGATTCCTCTACCTAGATCTCTTTTCCCCCATGCTGCATGGCTTCACCCTTTTCCTTCTTAGGTCTTTGCTCAGAGATCACCTTCTCAGGGAGGCCTTTCCTGACCCATCTCTTTAAAACCACAACCCCCCTTCCTACACCTTCAGTACTTCTTAACCTCTTGATTTCTCTACATAGCACTTACCACCATTTAAGACTAACTTATTTATTACACTCCTCTTTTGCTATTAGAATATAAACTCTGTGAGGGCAGGGATGTCACTTTTGCTCACTGCTATATCCCCAACACTTGCAATGGTTCCTTGTATATAACAAACATTCAAGAAGTATTTTTCTTTTCTTTTTTAGTATAAATTATTATTTTTTAAATAGAGACAGGGTCTTGCTATGTTGCCCAGGCTGGTCTTGAACTCCTGGGCTCAAGTCATCCTCCCACCTTGGCCTCCCAAAGTGCTGGGATTACAGGTGTGAGCCACTGTGCCAGGCCCAAGAAGTCTTTTTGAATGAATAACGTGACATTTCAAAAAAGTTGTATGATCTTAAGATGCTTCAGAGCAATCATTATGAACAATTATCATGATACACTTAAATACTCCCTGGCTAAATTGTTTCAGATAATCCCCTAAAAGCAGCAAGTCTGAGTTTTTTTTTTAGATTCACTGAAAAAAATCAAGAGTGCATACAAAGACTACCACTCAAGGACAAAAAGGTTGTAAAATGAGTCAGTTTTTCCAGTCTTGAACATAAATCACTGGACTGGAAGGTATCTCACAGTGGTCCTTAAATTATTTTCTACCTTCAGGCAGCCTTCACTGATCCACTGCCCTATTTTTTCTTAGCATTCCAGAGAAGGAGCTTTGTTGATCTCCAGTTCAACCTGTTTCGGGGATCGATAACCATAATTAATTCTGGCCAGAGTTTCGTTTGAGCCTCAGAGGTCAAAGCTGCAGTGAGCAATCTCGCCACTACACTCCAGCCTGGGCGACAGAGTGAGACCCCGTCTCAAAAAAAAAAAAAAAAAAAAAAAAAAAAAAGTTAATTATATCCATTAGCCTGGAACCAACATTAAAGGGTAAGTTTTCTCCTGCTTCATTCAATCCCTTGATAGAGGAGATGCCTACATAATTCATAAACTGTTAATGGACTTTTTTTTTTTTTTTTGAGACGTAGTCTCACTCTGTCGCCTAGGCTGGAGTGCAGTGTCGAGATGTCGGCTCATGCAACCTCTGCCTCCTAGGCTGAAGCGATTCTCCTGCCTCAGCCTCCTGAAAAGCTGGGGGTACAGGCGCGCCACCAGGGCCAGATAATTTTTGTATTTTTAGTTAAGACAAGGTTTTACCATGTTGGCACTCAATTCTCATTATTCTGAGGGCAAGCATTTTAAAAAGACTGATCAGAATTAGTGATCATGAAATGAAGAATCTTACAAAGCCTTAGAACAATCAGTTCCACCAAAAACTACACATTATTTAACGCTGTATCATCAGAAAACTGCATCCACAACTTTTAGAAAATAAAGTTAATATTTGGAAGTCACAAGGTTGGTAAGTGGCAGTGTCACCGTCTGGTCCCGATTTCAAGTCGGACAGTCCCTCCCCAACACCGCCTAGGAAGTTATTAAAACGACCGGAAAAGAATTCCATAATCCGTTTCTTAACTTGCAAAGAAACAAAGCTATCTTTCCAATTCAAACAAAACGTTAACACCGCTGGCCAGATATAAAGAAAAACAACGGGCCGGGCACGGTGGCTCACGCCTGTAATCCCAACACTTTGGGAGGCCGAGGTGGCAGGATTACTTGAAGCCAGGAGTTCGAGACCAGCCTGGCCAACATAGACCGCGTTTCCACAAAAATAAAAAAAAAGAATAAAACAAAGAAAAACAACGATAAATAAACTTAACAGCTTTAAAGAAAAGCCACGACCACAGAAGGTTTACAACGAGTCATCTGCGCCAAGCAGCGGCACCTGAGACGCTGCGGGCGGGGAGGGTGGGGTCCGAGCGCCAGCGCTGACCGCCTGGGTGGAGGCCGCCCCGGGCCCCGGGCCTCGACTACCCTGCCGCGTCCGGGCACCGGCGCTCGGCTCCCACCCGGGCGTCTGAGCCTGCGGGCACCTGCGGCCGCCGGCGGACAGCGCGTCAGGTCTCACCGCCGCGGCCCTCGCACTGGCTCGCCGCCTCCAGACCCTGCCCCTCAGCGCCCCCGGCCTCCCTCGGCGCCGACTGCCGTGACGATCTAGGCCCGGGACCCCGCACGGGTCCCGCACCCCTGAACAGGCCCCGCAGCCGAAACGAGCGTCGCTCCCTCCCGCGTCCCCTCGATTTCCCCGCAACCCGCACCTTCTCCTCATGGCGGACGCTCCAAGCAGCCGTGAGTCCAGGTCCAGACCTACTCCACACGGCCCCGAGAGCAACAACCACCCGCAAACACCGGCGATGTCACTCCGCGTAGCCGCTCCGCGAGCCGTTGAGCCCCGCAAAATTTCAAACCGCGCCACGGGGCGAAGCCTCGTCGCGATTGGCGTCGCGTCCCGTCGCTCCAAGAAAATCCCCGCCCCTCGGGCTGAAGTCGCGGGTGCGCAATCGGGGTGGGGACTCGCGAGCAGGGCCTGGGAAGCGCCGGAGTGGCGGCGGGGGATGACGTCACTGTCTGTGAGTGGCCGGGCGTGGCCTGCGCCTCCCGCTTCCCTGGCTTGGCGGCAGCCTCAAGGGACTCCTCTCCCAAGCCAGCTACCTCATCGGAGCGCCGCCCCGCCTCGCCCCGCGCAGTTTGGATTCGAAGTGCGCGGGCGGGGAGGGAGTTGAGAGCACCGCGGCTACCTGGCTTCCCTGAGTCCCGGCTGCCGGGAACGGGCGCGGGGGTGAATAGGTAAGTTAGCGCCTAGTTTCCCTCGCTCATCCAAGAAGCGAAGCTTGGAATCGATCTTTGGTGGGACTCTTCCCCAGATGTAAGAAGCCATACACTAAAGGGGAAGGGAAGGAACATTGAGTCCTGCTCATGGGCCTGGAACGTTTCAACGCCAGTTATCCCATTTAACCTCCACAATCGCCATTGCAGAGGAAACGCAAAAAGATTTGAATGATTTGCCTAAGTCACGTTATCAAATTAGATGAGTTTCTAAATCGTTACATGAAAAATTTAAAACTCAAAATAGACATTACTTTTGTAGCCTCCTTTCCTCGATGAACATGTTACATCCCTAAATGCTTATATATCACCGTTTTTTCCCAGTGATTCATGGTGGCATGGTGGCATGAATCCTGGTGTGTAGATATCTCGCCCATTCTGCTATTGATATTTAGATGATAATTTAAAAGATAAGGCTGGGCTGAATATCTTCATACATAAATCTTTGTGTATGTATGTATTTATAAATGCATCCTGCATTTTCGTACGGCTGATTCCTAGAGGTGTAATTACTGAATGCTCCCTTTATTAATTTGCCTTCTGCACAAAGCCTCACCGGAAAAGTACCCTCCTTTTGTTACCCTCAGCAGGGCTGAATTCTATTGTACTTCTAAACATCTTTGCTCATTTTGTAGGTAAAATAATAATACTGGCATTTCCTTGTTTGGCACTTGATTATAATTGAAATTGCACATTTTTCGTGTTTATTGGCCAACTGTAACTTAAGTGAATCCTCTTCATATGCCTTTTCCCTAAAGGTAAAGGATGCTTGTTTGCTTCACCTTCAGAACCATATTTTTCTTATTTTCAGAAAAACTTCATTAGTGCTTTCAATGTTCTTTTTACTTTTTTTAATTGAGACGGAGTCTCGCTCTGTCACCCAGGCTGTAGTGCAGTGGCCCAATCTCAGCTCACTGCAACCTCCGCTACCTGGGTTCAAGCAATTCTTGTGCCTCAGCTTCCCGAGTAGCTGGGACTACAGGCACGCACCACCATGCCTGGATACTTTTTTTTTTTGTATTTTTAATAGAGACGGGGTTTTGCCATGTTGGCCAGGCTGGTCTTGAACTCCTGACCTCAGGTGATCCGCCTGCCTCGGCCTCCCAAAGTGTTGGGATTACAGGCGTGAGCCAACGCGCCCGGCTTCCATGTTCTTTTTAACTTGTCAGCAGCATGCCAAACATTCACAGCACCAACACAGTGGGCGACAGGCACCACTTTTTCAATTTCCTTGCACTCTGTGATTAACATTGACACCACTAATAGAGTAGATGGTAGCACTACTTTTAAAATTTACTTGCATTCTTTGTTGATTAAATTAACAGGAGAGCTTTTCAGAAAGCTTCACAAATTTGTGATCTTCATACTTGTTCTTAGCACCAGCATTATGAAGTATCCAAAGAAAAGGCAATTTTTTCTCTCTTGTCCTTTACACTGAGGTGCTGAGGCTAACAAAGTCATAGAACTGATGCAAAGATATCCATTCAGAGCATAAACGCAGCATGTAAAACACTGTGTAATACGCGTTTATAATATATGACCTTAGCCTGGGCACTGTGGCAAAACCCTGTCTCTATAAAAAATACAAAAATTAGCCAGGTGTGGTGGTATGAGCCTGTAGTTCCAGCTACTTGGGAGGCTGAGGTGGGAGGATCACTTGAGCCCAGGAGGTCAAGGCTGCAGTGAGGCATGGTCACGCCACTGCACTCCAGCCTAGACGACAAAGCAAGACCCTTTCTCAAAAAAAAAAAAAAAAAAAAAAAAAAATCCTATTACAGGGTCATATATTTCTACTGGATGGAAGTGCAATGTTTTGCCACTGTTTAATCTTTTTCTGATGCCACCTATTCTTTCTGTGAATTAACAGCCCTGTTGGCAGTGTCTTTGGTCTTGCACACTAGCTTGACATAACACTCAAAATTCTAGCTAGATGCTTGAGGAATGCCTTTTCCTTGGAATATATTCTTATACAGAATTATCATTATTCTTATTTATTTATTTATTTTTTGAGACAGAGTCTTGCTCTGTTGCCCAGGCTGGAGTCCAGTGGCATGATCTCGGTTCACTGCAGCCTCTGCCTCCTGGGTTCAAGCGATTCTCCCACCTCAGCCTCATGAGTAGCTGGGACTACAGGTGCGCGCCTCCACAGCTGGCTAATTTTTATATTTTAGTAGAGACAGAGTTTCACCATGCTGGCCAAGCTGGTCTCAAACTCCTGACCTCAAGTGATTTGCCTGCCTCGGCCTCCCAAAGTGCTAGGATTACAGGTGTGAGCCACCGTGCGGGGCCCAGAATGATCATTATTCTATAGGAAGAATACTTTTGATGATCCAGTAACTCAGGTTTTGATTTTCTTTCTTCCTTTTAGTAAGTGGCAGCACTGTGGAATGGGGAACAGATGGAAGAATGAGCAGCTGGGAGGCACACTCTTGCAAAAACCCAGGCAAGAGACAATAAAGACCTCTGTCGTAGGGATGGTGAGGAGAAGATGAACTAGAGACATTTAGAAATAAGAACCAATAGCACAAGGGAACCAGCTGAAGGTGGGGCATAGAAAGAAAAAATCTGAGGTCAAGAATACAATTTTTTGCTCATTTGAACAAAGTTTGGGAATACAGGAAGAAGAGCAGATTAAAGGATTCAAGTAGGGACAGGAGCTTCCACTCATGAGTTTATTTTGTACATGCTGAGTTTGAAGTGCCTGTGGAATGACCAGGTAGGAAATACTTGTGTGGCGCTAAGGAGTGAGATGAAGGCTTGAGATCTGGAAGTGGATGACAACAAAGGACAGAGAGAGGGGAGATGTCAGCAAATGGGATGAGCAGAGAGGAGTAATCAAAGAACAACCTAAGAGACTGTGGGAGGACAAAGAAAGGGTATTATGGAAGCTGAATAAGACAATTTCAAGGAAAGCATAGTCATCAGTGAGATCAAGTTGGAAGAGGCCTGAAAAGAGGCCACTAATATAGGTGGTTGTAATTCCTTCTTTTTTTTTTTTTTTTTGAGACAAGGTCACAGCTTACTGCAGCCTCGACCTCCTGGGCTCAAAGGATCCTCCCACCTCAGCCTCCCCAGTAGCTAGGAATACAGGTGTGTGCCACCACCCTCGGCTAATTTTTTTATTTTTTGTAGAGACGGGGTCTTCCCATGTTATCCAGGCTGGTCTCAAACTCCGGGGTTCAAGCGTTCCTCTTGCCTCGGCCTCCAAAAGTGCAGTGATTACAGGCATGAGCCACAGCACCTGGCCTATATTTCATCATTTTTAAAAGGTAAAGAGAGAGAGAAAGGCTACTAGCATCAGTAATGAGGAGGGTGCTGGCACATTTATAGGAGCACTGTTTGCTGATGCCTGAAATGGCTCTAATGGCACACAATCTTTCATTCTGCAATAAGAAACAAACGCTTAAAATTGAAGTGCCTCCTTAAATTAAAACAACAAAGTCATTTTCTCAAAAATGTAATGAATCACAACATTTTAGAACTGGAAACGTGCTTGCTGGTCACCTCAGCCATCTCCCTCATTTTATGGTAGAGGAAACTCAGGTACAGAGTGGTAGAGTGATTTTTACAGGGAAGAACCAGACCAGGCCTGGAGCCACTACAAAGTCCAGGCCAAGAAGCACAGGAAGCCCCTGTAGCAAGCTCCAATGGGCTTTCACTAATAAAGATGGAAGTGCGTGTCCAGAACGACCAACGTATTACATCTGAGAGCAGAGGCTTTATTTACAATGACATTCAAACAGGATTTAGCAAAGGATGCCTCTTCCTGCTCGCATCTTAGCAGCATGGGTTGTACTTCATAAACAGAAAAGAGAAATATCCTGGGAGCAGGAAGTGAACTCTTTTCTCAGATAATGTTCTCTAAATCCCAACACGTTCCATGCTCCCGGCTCTTAGCAGGTAGTTGGTGGACACTTGGTTATAGCAGCTGGGTGCCAGATGCCTGCATCTCACTGAGGAATGTGTTCAGGGAAGATGTCAACACTGGCCGGGAAAAACATCAGGCTTTCACCTCACTCATGGCCTCCATAAGGCGAGCGCTGTTTGTGACTGCTGTCGTCAGGAAAATGAACCTGTAGCCTAAGGAGTCAAATGCAGCAGCAGAAGAGACAGCACAGATCTTAGGCCCCAACGGCAACCCATAGAGCCTCTCCAGTTCCACAGTCCCCACGGGATCACAGCACCAGTTTATAGACAGAGACGTGAGTGCCATGCTCTTGGGCACCACTGCTTTCTATGACTGGTATAACTGGGCTCCCTGCTGTGGCAGCCCAGAGTTAAGGCTATGGCAAGTTGTATTCTGAGGCCAGGAGAAAAATATTCCTGTGCAGGACACTTTGCGTGTTTTTTTTTTTTCTCTTGAGATGGAGTTTTGCTATTGTTGCCCAGGCTGGAGTGCAATGGTGCAATCTCAGCTCACTGCAACCTCCACCTCCCGGGTTCAAGCAATTCTCCTGCCTCAGCCTCCCGAGTAGTTAGCATTACAGGCACCGGCCACCATGCCTGGCTAATTTTTGTATTTTTCGTAGAGATGGGGTTTCACCATGTTGGTCAGGCTAGGCTCTAACTCCTGACCTCAGGTGATCTGCCCGCCTCCGCCTCCCAAAGTGCTGAGATTACAGGTATGAACCACCGTGCCCAGCTGACACTTTGTTACCCAGATACAATGCAGGCCAATTCTCACCTTTCTGCTCTCTCTTACCTTTCTCTCTGCCCAGGAACCGGAGGGCTGAGATCTCAGAGAATGTACAACCACCCAAGAACACCACCAAGATGAGGCGCAGGGACTCACTGGAAGCCTTGTCTTCCTTAGTCATATCTGTGAGGATCAGACCAGATTCAGCCCTTCCCTGACATGCTAGTCCTGAGTGGTGCATCCAGCCCACCTCTCACTGCCAGCCTACCCCACTGTTAATGCCACATACCTGTGAATGCAAAGTCACTGCAGTTGAGCAGCCGTACCACCTCATCAAGGCCCTGCCAGCTTCGCCGCTCTAGCACCTGGGAAGGTGTAAGCACTGTTTTTAAGGCTACAGACAGTATCAGGCTTAGGAAAGGAAGGGCACAGCAGCCAGACTGTCACATTTCTTGCTCATTACTCAAGTAGCAAAAAGTTGAGACAGGGCCAGGTGTGGTGGCTCACGCCTGTAATTCCAACACTTTAGGAGTTTGAGGCGGGGGGATCACCTGAGGTCAGGAGTTCGAGACCAGCCTGGTCAACATATAGTTGGCCCTGTCTATATGAAACCCCATCTCTACTAAAAATACAAAAATTAGCTGGGTGCAGTGGCACATGCCTGTAGTCCCAGCTACTTCGGAAGCTGAGGCAGGAGAATCACTTGAATCTGGGAGGTGGAGGTTGCAGTGAGCCAAGATCGTGCCACCGCACTCCAGCCTGGGTGACAGAGCAAGACTCCATCTCAAATAAAAAAAAAAAAACATTGAGACACGCCAGGGACCAAGAGAAAGCAGAGAGAATGAAATATGAATGGGAGCAAGAATTACATGCTCTCACCTGCTCAATGATTCGGCAGCTCAGGGGCACATAAGCACCACCGAAGACGTAAGCCATGTCTCGGGGCACTTTCAGATCATACTCGCCGTCCACACGTGGGATCTGTAAGACAAAGGGACTTCATTAGGCAAGTGACAGCTCAGCTCCCTAACCCTTTAAAGGGTCAGATAAAGTGGCATGGCCCAAGGAACAATTCTTATTTCAACTAAAGGGAGAACCAGCAATAGCCCTGAAAAGAGAATCCATAACGGAAGATGGCAGTTTTTGTTCAGTAACTGCCAGTTCTCTGGAATGAGTTCCCATGCGCCATTATTGAATAATGTAAAGGGGCTGGAGGGATGGCTTCTCCTTTCCCTACCCTTAAGTGACACAGGATATGGTTGTC
Organism: Homo sapiens; assembly: GCF_000001405.40. NCBI lineage: Eukaryota > Metazoa > Chordata > Mammalia > Primates > Hominidae > Homo > Homo sapiens. The sequence continues at coordinate 91,000,875 of NC_000015.10, forward strand.
ACTGAAGCAGCACTTAGAATATTCTCTGGCATTGGCAGGTGCTTGTTACATGTTGATTAAATGAATGAATCTACCATGCTATAAGACTACCAAACAAAAGAATCTTTATACACATGAAATGACAAAAAGGTTTTTGTGGATTCAAAGTACTCCACAATGGGCTGGGCGCAGTGGCTCATGCCTGTAATCCCAGCACTTTGGGAGGCCGAGGTGGGCGGATCACCTGAGGTCAGAAGTTCAAGACCAGCCTGGCCAACATGGGGAAACCTTGTCTCTACTAAAAATACAAAAATTAGCTGGGCGTGGTGGCACATGCCTGTAATCCCTTGGGAGGCTGAGGCAGGAGAATCACTTGAACCTGGGAGGCAGAGGTTGCAGTGAGCTGAGATTGTGCCACTGCACTCCAGCCTGGGCAACAGAGCAAGATTCCATCTCAAAAAAAAAAAAAAAAAAGAAAAGTACTCCACAATGGAATGAACCCACTGTCTCCCCTAACCATCCCTGTTCCACATACCAAATTCAGCTTTTTGCTGATGGCACGAAAATTGCTCCTCTTGGCCAGAGAACTGAAGGCATCAGTAATCTTTCCTGGGGAAGAAATCTGTGTCAGGTTTCACCTAAGGTCTATGGATTCATGACACTGCCACAGATAACACCATTCAGGACACGACAGCACCAATCACATCCAAAAACTCTCGGAAGCTGTTCAACTATAATTCCCTGGAACTAATCAAGATATACTCCCCACCCTTCTCCCCACCCACAGTCTTCCCCCTCCTACGGGGTACCAGCTCTCTACTAAATGCAATCCACAGGGTAACCCGAGTTTATTGGTATGTGCTTTGGGAGTTAAACCGACCTAACTTACTAACTAAGGGACCTTGGACAAATCACTTAATTCTCTAAGCCTCAGTTTCATCATAAAATGAGGATGAGAAAATTTATCTCACAGTCTTTGTGAGATTAAATGAGAAACTAAAGGGCTCAGCACATGGTAAGTGTTTACTATGTGGAAACTGCTCTTACTAGCAGAAGTAGTAGTAATAATAGTAATGACATTAATAGGAAGGAATCAGTCCACCTTCTCCAATTCATTCTGTCCCTCCCAGCATGCTGCGTGTTGAGAGAAGTCAGGACAACAGCTGGAGCAGGGGTCACTTGTGCTCCCTGCTTACCTGCAGCCTTGTCGGTCACCAGCTTGCTCACTTTACTCTCCACGGCTGTGAGGGTGTCCCCGGGGGCCTGCTCCGTTAGGAGCCCAGCTCTTCGCAGATTGGAGAAGGTTAGCAGGTGCTCAGGGCCATAGCTCTGAAGAAGATGCAATTAGACTATTTACTGAGTGTCCAAAGAGCATCTAGTACTGTCAGGTACTACAGAGTTGAGCAGAAGGACTATGAAGCCTCTGCTGCAGTGTGAAGGAGCTCACACTTTGTTGAGATAAATTTTCACATCAGAAATAACCAAACAGGGCTGGGAGCGGTGGCTCATGCCTGTAATCCCAGCACTTTGGGTTTGGGAGGCCAGGGCAGGCAGATCACTTGAGGTCAGGAGTTTGAGACCAGCCTGGCCAACATGGTGAAACCCCATCTCTACTAAAAATACAAAAATTAGATGGGCATGGTGGCTCGTGCCTGTAGTCTCAGCTCCTCAGGAGGCTGAGGCACAGAAATGCTTGAACCTAGGAGGCAGAGGCTGCAGTGAGTGGAGATCGCGCCACTGCACTCTAGCTTGGGCAACAGAGCGAGACATCGTCTCGAAATAAAAAAAAAAAAAAAAAGAAAAGAAATAATTAGCACCAAACAAAGAAGAATAAAAAGCAGCATGAGACTTTAGAGACCCATGGATGTATGGGAAAGGCTTCCTGGATGAAGTAAGACTTGAGAAGTACCAGGAAGGAAAGCTGAATCAATGCCTCACACGGTGCTAAAATGAGGGAGACTCCCAGGAGAAAGAACTCACACTGGGGCCAGCACTGAAATGTTTAATTCTCAGCACTGGCCATGCGCCGTCAGTGTGTGGGGTGAAACAAGGGTAGAGGGCAGAGAGGCGTGCTGAAAGGTGACTCTCCCTAGTAGCTCTAAGAGGGAGGCCTGAATGGAAACAGGAGGGTAATGGAGGCAGGAAAGGGGCCACTTCTCTTGCCTCTTTCAAAAATGCCCAATAACTGCCCTCCATCAAGTTCCCTCAAGAATACATTCTCCAGGCCTTACCTGCAGATACTGTGTTTTCAGAGATCGGTAATCCTTGGGGATCAAACCTAAGAGTGAAGAAAATAAGACAGGTGCATGAGAAAGAGGCCGGCAGAGGCACCCTAAAATGTACAGATCAACCAGCAACGAACGCCTTCTTCAGGAGGAAGGATTCAGTAAATGTTAACCCTGCAGAGTATACATTTGGTTCTAAATTTAAGCTTGCTTATTGAAAGATAAAGCCTTGGTCTGGGAGCTCCCAAGAAGAGCTGTGAAACATAAGGGTGCTGAGGAGGGGACACTGGAACTAACGGTGATCGTAGTGGGATGTGGGGAGGATGCAGCAGGAGGGAGGAGAAGTGACGACTCATGCATTTATTTATTTATTTATTTAGAGATGGAGTCTTGCTCTGTCACTCAGGCTGGAGTGCAGTGGTGCGATCTTGGCTCACTGCAACCTCCGCCTCCCGGGTTCAAGCCATTCTCCTGCCTCAGCCTCCTGAGTAGCTGGGATTACAGGCATGCGCCACCACACCTGGCTAATTTTTGTATTTTTAGTAGAGACAGGGTTTCACTATGTTGGTCAGGCTGGTCTCCAACTCCTGATCTCAAGATCCGCCTGCCTTGGCCTCCCAAAGTGCTAGGATTACAGGCATGAGCCACCGCACCTGGCAGACTCATGCATTTCTTTCTGGCTAAGGGGCAGTTCTACTAGGAACTGCTTCACAACTATTGAGAAATAGGAAAAGTGTTCAAATGAGTTCCAAAAGCACGGTCTTATATGTTTTTCTCCATAGAGGTAATAATAACTGGGATTCTAACTGCAGTAAATGAGATTTAGAATAAGCAAATACTTCTCTGAGTAGAAAGCAACCTTTGGCCGGGCACAGTAGCTCACTCCTGTAATCCCAGAACTTAGGGAAGCCGAGGCAGGTGGATCACCTGAGGTCAGGAGTTCCAGACCAGCCTGGCCAACATAACAAAACCCTGTCTCTATTAAAAATACAAAAATTAGCTGGGTATGATAGCGTGCATCTGTAGTCACAGCTACTTGAGAGGCTGAGGTGAGAAATCGCTTCAACCTGGGAGGTGGAGGTTGCAGTGAGCCGAGATCGTGCCATTGCACTCCAGCCTAGGCAACAGAGCAAGACTCTGTCTTAAAAAAAAAAAAAAGAAGAAAAAGAAAAAGAAGGCAACCTTCAAGAATATTCACCAACTAGAAGACTTCAACAGTAAAAACAAGTTGCCATGAAGGTTGCACAATCTGGAATTTTAGAAATGTTCATGAAAACTAGCTGGGCGTGGTGGTGCACACCTGTAGTCCCAGCTACTCAGGAGGCTGAGGCAGGAGAATCACTTGAACCCAGGAGGTGGGGGTTGTGGTGAGCCGAGATCGCACCACTGTACTCCAGCATGGGTGACAGAGCGAGACTCTTGTCTCAAAAAAATAAATAAATAAAATAAATGTTCATGAAATTAACTTGCTGTCCCTTTTTCCTGGAATGTATCTTTATCTTATTGAAAATAAGGACAGATGGAGTGATGAGAGAAATGCCACTCAGCTCTGCACCCCTGCAGTCCTAAGATATGACAAGGCTCTAGGGTGGCCTGGATGTGGTCCCGCTGAGGGCTAAAGCAATAAATTACCCTGTGTCCTGGTGATAATTCACCCCAAACAAAAAAGAATCCATTAAATTACAGGGAAACATTCTGTTTGCTAAGACATTTGCCTTAGCCTTTCAAAATCACTTCTTCTGTCCCTAAGGCATAGTTTCTCAATCTGACATTCTCATCTTCAGTCTTTTGGGCTCACCATTCTCAGTGATGGACAAAAGGCACATGAGGCGCAGGCTTTCTATAGGCGACACCTGCATAGGAAGAAAGAATCAAGGAGAATTGAAGCTTCACAACACGTGTTCTTTTCCTTCTGCTTAAGGCCGACCCCACCTCTAAATGCCATTCTTGGCACCCCCAGCCCTCCACCTGCGCACCTGCCGGTCTATGTGTTCCTCAATGTAGCTGGTGCTCTCCCGGATGTTGAACCCCTCTAGCAGTGCTGTGAGTAATCAGAGGAGAGCCTGTTACTGGGGGCCAGCTCAGCTGCTGCCATCTATGCTAACAGGTGTCTGTCTCCCCATCTCTTTCTCCATCCTTGGGGTGGGTTAAGGGACCCCCAGGACTTCTAGCAGGAACCAGCATTCCACATAGCCAGTGTCAGCTGGAAAGAGCCAGAGAACATCTTTTAAGGGTGGGACGGGGCTGGGAGCTGGGGAAGTAGAAGCGTGGGCAGTAGCACAGCAAGGCTGCGGCAGTTACCATGCTCAGTCTTGATTAGCTCCTGGAAATCCTGCTTGGTTTTCTTCTTCATGATGGATTCACAGGCCCCAATATCTGCAGGTTGGACAAAGGGAGCTGACATACTCCTGGTTCTAGAAAGATGTCCCTTTATTGTCCGGAAGAATAAAAAACCTCCTAAGGCAAAATCCGAAAGCACTTCTTCCCACTTTACACCAAGTAAGACCATATGCATCAGATGAACAGGGATCTCCTCCTCGGGAGTAATGGTCCTCTGGAGCTTTCCCCAGAGGGACACAGTCACTTCCCCTCACGCCCCTCAAGCTGAAACCTACGGAGACTCAGCAGGCGGTGCTCCTGTTTCAGGCCCTTGAGCTCCTGGGACACGAAATTCTTCATCTGCTTAATGTCCATGCCTCTCCGGCGCTGTGGGAAAATTCCCAAAGGTGAACCCCCCAACCTCAGACACGAGAAACCACCACCCTCCCTCAGTTGCCATCCATCCATGAGAAAGGACAGGGAACCTGTCATAGTATTAGAAGGGGAGCCCAAGGGCAGCAGCCTTGGGAAGCCACTGAGGCAACAAAACAGAGGAGCAGGGCTTGGAGCCTCACATCATACTGGGCCTGCAAGTTCCGGGCCTTCTGGCTCAAGAAGCCAAAGACATTGGAGAAGTGCTCGTTCCGAATCTCATTAAACACCTGTGAGGACAGTAAGACAAGAACAGCTTACTCTGTCAGAACCATAACTTAGCAGTAGAATGACAGTACAGGAAGGGTACTCAGGTGTTCTGGCAGAAATACAAAGAAAGCTGAGCTGGGATCTGTAAGTCCATATCAAATGCCTACACCGTGTTCTAGGAGATGCTCTGAACTGGTGGGGAAACCCTCTCTCCCATAGACTCAGCCTCCCCTCTCAGAGCTGGGGCCCACAGCCTGGTATAAGCAGGGGGCCCACAGCCTGGTATAAGCAGTGGCCCTAGGTGGGCCCATTGCTAGCACCCACACCCTCACCTTGTCCTCGGCATTGAGTAGCACCTTCAGGCTCTTGTCAGAGGATGTGACTTCTGGGCCAAAGTCGACACTCCCTTTGAGAGCAGAGGGACAGCTATTAGGATCTCCAATGAGGACTTCTCCTACCATTCCCTGAACTGCCATAAAGGTCCTCAAACTATTTGGAAGCCAGCAGTTCATTCAGGGTCTGGGTCTCTCCCACAAACCCTGCCCCACGTGGGAGGTGCCAAGGCTGATGACCCGTCCATCTTGCCAAGATGCAGAGGACCATAGCACTTACCACACTTGATGCGGAAGGTGTCATCTACTAGGCCCTCATAAACCACTTGGGAGCAAAGTGCTGTCACAAAGTCCACATCTGAAACAGAGATCCCTGACCATGAAGGTTCTCCCTGACCCAGCCTTCTACACAGCATGTCCAAGGGCAGCTTTGATACTTTCCATAGGGCCAAGGACCCACGCTCCTCAAAGCTGGGATTCACAGCCCTAACTTTAGGATTTTAACTTTGCCACCACGCCTTCCATATTCCCGTGTCTTCTAGGGCTGAAAGATGACAGGAACGCTGGGCATAATTTACCTCTGTCCAAGAGAAAGATATGTCCAATCTCTGGCCTTCGGCCCTTGGTTTCGCCATCCTCCTCCTCCTCCAGGTTCCTCCACAATTCATATGCCATCTGCCAGGGCCCAAGACATTCTCAGTCTTGTGTCCAGGTCCCTACTGCAGCCCCATACCTACAGAAGTCAGCCCTTTCCACGTGATACTTCCTCTTGTCCCCGAGACAGGAGCTAATTATTCACAATATGGCCCTATCTACTCCCGTCTGTGTCTATCTTTCCCCAACACTCTTCCTACTGATGAGAAGATGTGTTACTCTGTCCCCAAAATAAAAAGAGATTTAGGAATGCTACCCAGGAGATCCTGGCTTTTGCTTCTCTGTTAGCCACACAAGTTCTCCTCTCTGAGGATCTATTCCAGAACAATGAAAGCAAAGTAAAGAATACACCTCATATCACAGGTGCCCTTGGATAACCCCAGGAGGGTACAGAACAGGGAAAACAGCGTCTGCTGGGACAACAGTACTGCTAGTGCTCTTACCTTGGCGCACCTGCCAATTCCATAGCAGTTTGGAAAGGGTCCATAGAGAGTGCTGAGAAGGTGTAAGGCCTGAGCTACAGTGTTGATCCAACGCTGATCTCCTTCCTGCAGGGACCACACAAGCCACAAAGATATGAATCAACCCAGTAGGACCACCTGGAAAGTGGCTAGCCCTAGAAGCCCTGGAGCAGGGTGGCAGGGCCTGGGGGATGCTTGAAAGGTTTTCATTGGCTCCACAGGAAGTCCCACAGAGACCAATCTGTAGCACTCAATCACCACATCACTATCACTTGTGATAAATTACTTGCGTTGGACAAAGGTTATATTGGTATTTCTAGCCCTCTGCATCCCACATTTGTCCCCATCCCCTGATGCCAAGACACAAGGGCCTCTGCATTTACCAGAAAGTAATCCCTGAAAAATTCTGGTAGTTCCATGCTCAGCAGATCCACATCAAGAGGCAGCAAAGAGAAGGCCCATTCATCACAGCTCACATCTGTGGGGACAGAGAGCATCAGCCTCCCTGCAGAAGGTACTTAGCTCCACGTTAAGAGGGAAGGTCCGCCACAAATATTTGAGTGCGTGCAACAAATATATGAGTGCCTGCCACATGCCAGTACTGCATTAAGCAATGGAGGCTCAAAGAAGAATAAGACACAGTCCCTGCCCTTAAGGAGCTCACAGTCTGATAAGGAAAGGAGATGTGTCCACAGCAGCCTGTAATACAATGTGATAAGTGGTGGGTTTTTACTAGAGGGCTGACCAAAAGTGCCGAGAAAACATTCATTCATTCATTATTTATTTATTTATTTAGAGATGGAGTTTAGCAATTTTCATCCAGGCTGGAGTGCAATGGTGCAGTCTCGGCTCACTGCAACCTCCGCCTCCTGGGTTCAAGCAATTCTCCTGCCTCAGCCTCCCAAGTAGCTGGGATTACAGGTGCACGCCACCATGCCCAGCTAATTTTTGTATTTTTGGCAGAGACGGGGTTTTGCCATGTTGGCCAGGCTTGTCTCAAACTTCTGACCTCTGGTGATCTGCCTGCCTTGGCCTCTCAAAGTGCTGGGATTACAGGTGTGAGCCACCACGCCCAGCTCACTCATTCATTATTCAGCATATATTTACTGAAAGCTGCCTACATGTAGGACTGTATGAACACCAGAGATACAGCAGTGAGCAAAATGGACATGCTCCCAACCTTCTGGAGCTTACAGTCTAGTGAGGGAGACACACCAGACAAATTATGACACAAACTATTAAATCACGGTTGTGCTCCAAAGAGGTCAAACAGCAAGCTGTGAGCACATATATTAAAGGGATGTAACCACAACTGGGGGTATAGGAAAGACTTCCCTCAAGAAGAGAAAATCAAGCTTAGAATTTGGGTAAGACTCGGGAAGGCAAAAAGCTATAGGGTGGAGAACGTTCTGGGTACCTGGAAAAGCATGGGTAAAGTCTCTCTGGCTGGAGGGTGGCGAGTCAGGAGAAGGAAGCAGCACACGATGAGGCTAATGGGACAGGAGGGGCCAGACTGTGCAAGGGATAGGAGGCATGTTGGGGATTCTGGGCTTTATATTGAGCCGCTGCTATTTCCAGCAGGGAGGGCTGTGATCAGGTTTGGGTTGTGTGGAGAATAGCGGAGGAATACACAGAGGGGAGGCCCAGTTTTTCCTGTGGGAGCCTTGGAAGGTGAGAAAAGAGTGGCTGGTCATTTCCAACTCTAAGCCCTGGTGTTCCTTTCATACTACCCCAGGAGTGTTCTTTTCTTATCCTTTCTTTTCCCTCCCTCCCTCTCTCTCTTTCTCTCTTTTCTTTTATTTTCTTTCTCTCTCTCTTTCTTTCTTCCTTCCTTCCTTTCTCTGAGTCTCACTCTTGTTGCCCAGGCTGGAGTGCAATGGCGTGATCTCGGCTCACTGCAACCTCTGCCTCCCGGGTTCAAGCAATTCTTCTGCCTCAGCCTCCCGAGTAGCTGGGATTACAAGCGTGCGCCATCACGCCCAGCTAATTATTGTATTTTTAGTAGAGATGGGGTTTCACCATGTTGCCCAGGCTGGACTCAAACTCCTGACCTCAGGTGATCCACCCCCTCGGCCTCCCAAAGTGCTGGGATTACAGGCATGAGCCACTGCGCCCAGCCCCCAGTAGTGTTCTAATTCGTGGTCCTATTCCCATTCCCATTCTCAGGAACCTCTCCTCCTGCTACACTAACAGGAATAAGACCAGGAAAAGAAGGAGCTGGTGGTGGGGGTGGGGTGGGGGGGTTGGAGAACAACAACAGTTTTTTCTTCTGTATGTTCTCTTTCCCTTTCCACTCACATTCATCTCCTCTCACCTCCATAGATTCCCTCTTCCTCAAGCACCATCTCACACGCATAGAACTGAAAGAGAAAAGGAAATTGATTAGTAACTACCTTCTTCTCTGTTCTCTCCATTTCTCTGGAGTTCCTCTGTGGTCACTGATGAGGACAATAATTGCCGAACCCAGTGAAAGACAAGAGAACCCAGACTCTTAAGATCTAGAAAGAACCATTAGAATCATTCAGCCCAGCACTTCAGTTCTTTCTCATCCATTTAATTTATGTTTGAGTAAATTGCTTCTTATCTCCCTGAGAGAATGGAAGAGGTTTACAAAGGAGAAGGAGTTCAGCTGTCTTCAAAAGGTAAGTTGTACAGACAGAGATGAGAGCAATGGCATGAAGTGCTCTGGAAATTGTGGAGGAGCAGATGGGAGGAAAAGATCTGTACAAGGGAGAGTGAGTTCTGTTTAGGACATGCCCACGGGACCTTGGGAGACACAGACAAGGACTTGGGATTAAGTAGCATATATGCTGTATTTAAAGTGGATGATGTGGCTGGGTGCACTGGCTCACTCCTATAATCCCAGAACTTTGGAAGGCCGAGGCAGGTGAATCGCTTGAGCCCAGAAGTTCTAGACCAGTCTGGGCAACATAGTGACACCCCATCTCTACAAAACAATGCAAAAATTAGCTGGGCATGGTGGTGTGTGCCTGTAGTCCAGTTACTCAGGAGGCTGAGGTGGGAGGATCACTTGAGCCCAGGAGGTCAAGGCTGCACTGAGCTGAGATTGTGCCACTGCACTCCAGCCTGGGCAACAGAGTGAGGCCCTGTCTCAAATAAATAAATAAAGTAGATGGTCTGTCCAAGAGAAAAGAACACGCAGAGGAGAGCTAAGGACAGGACTCTAGGGAACACAAGATGAAAGGGGGCCAGAGTACAGGACCTGGCAGGGAAGACTGAGAAAGAATACTCAGAGAAGCAGGGGCAGGAGAAAACAGCAACAGTCAAGGCAGGAAAGGTGAGAGTTGCAAGGAAGGGTGGGCAACAGTGTCAAATGCCAGGGAAGTTAAGTAGGATTAACATTAAATAGACACCAGTGGATTTGACAACGGAGACCTGAGGGAGACTAGATGAAACGATGAAGGTGGAGATGAGGAAGCAGAAGCAGTGACAATAGAACATTCTTCACAGAAGCCTGGCCCTGAAAGAAGGGGGAGCTCTGAAAGGGAAAAGAGATGAAATGGGAGACATTGTTTAGAAGGCATAGACATGGGTGAAGGCAGAAGAGAAAGTCTACCTGGTAAAGCAAGATAATGGAGAAGGAAAGCAGAAATGGGGCCAAGAACTGGCATGGAACAGCTCATCTTAGGAGGGAAAAGGCCACGATCTCTTCCTCCTTTGAGGTAAGTGGGGAAAGGGTGAATATTTTAAAGTAATGAGAAAGAATGCTGAGGGCACTCACATCTGATAATGAGTTGACATTATTAACAGCTAATGTTGTAAGCCCTTAAAATGGTTTAGGCATTGTTCTTAGTGTTTTACAGGAATCACTTGTCTTCATCTTCATACTAGCTCTGTGAGATGTAGATCAATGCTACGTGCTCCTTATTTTACTGTTACACAGAAGAATCCTATTCCTCCCTCACTCATTTCTGCCAGGAAAACTGAAATCTTCAGGCCTGCTTTTAACTTTTAATGCTAAGTAATGGAATTCCAGAGCCAGGTCTGAAAACTGCCAATCTTCATAATTAACAAAGGAGTCTCAAAGAAGAGAGAGAGATGCCTCCTAATATAAAATTAGGTCAAAGAATTTGATTAGATAAGGTGTTAAGTGGAGAACACTCATAAAAATAACTATTTTGTTTTTCTGTGTAATAGAGAGGCTTGTAGGATTATTTTAACTTGTAGGATTATTCCCTGTTAATACAAATCTGTCCTTGGCCAGGCGCAGTGGCTCATGCCTGTAATCCTAGCACTCTGGGAGGCAGAGGTGGGCAGATTGCCTGAGCTCAGGAATTTGAGACCAGCTTGGGCAATATGGCAAAACCCCACCTCTTTTAAAAATATAAAAAATTAGCCACGCACGGTGGTGCACATCTGTAGTCCCAGCTACTCGGGAAGCTGAGGCAGGAGAATTGCTTGAACCTGGGAGGCGGAGGTTGCAGTGAGTCGAGATTGCGGCACTGCACTCCAGTCTGGGTGACAGAGCAATGCACTGTCTCCAAAAACAAAACAAAACAAAACAAAACAAAACAAGACAAGACAAAACACCAAAGCTGTCCTTGGAAGCATAATTTGAAAAGAAAAAAAAAAAAAAGGTTTGTAAGAGTCCAAGAACTAGAAATTATTGCCATGACTCCTTTAGTAACATTCAAAAGTACCTATAATTCTGAGTGGTTGTCCTACTCAATAATTTCTTGCCCTGGTAATAATACTTCACGTTTGTATTCCTAAGCATATTATCCTAAGATAAATATTTGTAAGATTGTGCTATCAATGTTCAGGTGACATTCAAAGGAAGGTCACTGGCTCTTTCCTCTTATTCCTTTTACAGAAGGAGAAAACAATATAAGCCTAGGGTCCCACTTGATTTCTTATTTCAACAGAGACTCAAAGTCATCTCACTTAAATTAAAAGATAAGTACTATTATCAACTCTATCTTCCAGATGAGAAAACCGAGACACGGAGCAGCTCAGTACCTAACCCAAGACCACACAGGTAATAAGGCCTCAAGGGTGGATTTTATCCAGACAGCCTGGTTTCAGAGGCTTCAGTCCTTAGTTACTGCCTCTATTTTCTCTAGAATTTTCTTAGAAAGATTGAAAAGGAATAAATCCCTGTTCTTCCTAGTCTAGCTTCTACCTTCTGTAAGTATGCATGCACTACTTGCTGTAGCTTTAGAGGCCTATGGTTGGCAAGGTAAAGGCCTGGAACGTCATTCCTCCCAATCACTGGGATTGAGGATGCACGTAGCTGATGTGGAGGTGAGAGGGGAGCTCAATGGAATCAAGAAATGGACAGACTATGATGGACCTCCAAATATGTACTGCAATTATTGAGTTAAAGATGGAAGAGCTCTACTCTGGCTGTGCTAACTCACTGTGTGAGCATGGGCTTCAGTTCCCTCAGCTGCTCAAAGTTGGGGTGGAGTAAAACAGTCTCTAAGGTTCCTTTCCTGTGCAAGAAAAGGCTTTTCCAATATATGGTGGCATGGTTCTAGTAACCCAGGGGCAGCCCAGCCACATCCTTATAAGCATAGCGGATGGGAAGAGGGAGGGTGATGATTTATCGTATTTATTCTTAAAGGGATACAGGGAGAAAGTCACTGGAAAGCCGTAACATTGTGCACCATTACTATACTAGAGTTTGTGTTAGGGATACAGAGCAGGTTCTACCTCGCAAGCGTGAAGCTTTTCATTTAAAAAAATCTACGTAGAGGCCTCTTCGCACAATTCCACAATACTTTATTTGGGACAGTATGATGACAGACCCTCTGCTAAACAAATGAGGATATGTTAATGAATTGAGGATGCGTTAGTGACAGGTATTAGGTTCAATCACACATAATTTGCTTTGAGGGAGTGCTATGGTTTGAATGTGTCTCCCAAAAGTTCATCTGTTGGAAACTGAATCTGCAGTGCAACAGTGTTGGGAGGTGCAGCCTAATAACAGGTGATTGGGTTATGAGGGAGGAGTCCTCATGAATGGATTAATGTCCTTATGGCAGGAGTGGGTTGCTATAAGGCGAGTCCAGCCCCTGGGTGTCTCTTGGTCTCATGTGCTGGCTTCCACCTTCCACCCTTCTGCCATGGGATGACCCTCGCCAGATGCCAGCCCCACAGTCTTGGATTTCACAACCTCCCCAGACCATGAGCTAAATAAATTTCTGTTCATTATAAATTACCTAGTCTCAGGTATTCTGTTACAGCAACAGAAAACGAACGGAGACAGGGAGGTAGTGCTGTTGGCCCCTTACCCCTGCCCGGTCCTCAGTCCTGTTCTACCTTATCCCACTTCCTCCAGGATCCAAACTCACCTTTTGAGGGCTGAAGATCACTTTGTATTTGCGAGTTCGGCCAGCCAATTTGTCAGCATTGACAAGACCTACAGAGAGAAGGAATGCAGCCCAGCAAGTCATGGGCCATCTGTTATGCTAGAAACAGGGAAGCTGCCGGGCACAGTGGTTCACGCCTGTAATCCCAGCACTTGGGAGGCTGAGGCGGGTGGATCACCTGAGGTCAGGAGTTTGCGACCAGCCTGGCCAACATGGTGAAACTCTGTCTCTACTAAAAACACAAAAAATTAGCCCGATCTGGTGGTGGGCACCTGTAATCCCAGCTACTTGGGAGGCTAAGGCAAGAGAATCGCTTGAACCCAGGAGGCGGAGGTTGCAGTGAGCCGAGATCGTGCCATTGCACTCCAGACTGGGCAACAAGAGTGAAACTCCGTCTCAAAAAAAAAAAAAAAAAAAAAAAGAAGCGGGGAAGCAGACATCCTCCACAAGTGCTACGGCCAACTCAAACAATTATTTTCTTATTAGAGGGTCCTTATGGCCAAGGCCCTTAGATTTTGCCCGCCCTTTCCCACAGTTACACATAGTACCATGGCACACTCACTGGCAATGTATCGCATATTCTTGATGCGGGGTCTGACCAAGAAGCACAATCTATGAGAGAGAAAGAAAAAAAAACAGTGAAGAAGAATTATCAAGTTGGATAGCAACTTAGAAGAAACTGAAACAATACCAACTCTTTTGCCATTTGCCCTACAGGTCTCATCCTAGCCAAAGCTATGCTATTCTCTTGGTCCACCATATACCAACCACAGAAGATACCTCTCAACACAATGGGTATAATGTGATGAGCTGGGTACATTACTGGCCCTATGGTGGACCCAAAAGTTCCTGTTCTCAAATAATTTACAATCCAGTGGGCAAAAAAAGATGCAGATATGGAGTATATTAACAATCAGTGCTGAAAAACAATATAAGAATACCCCATAAAAATATACAATTATTATCTGTCAGTTAAAAATAAAGGCTGGGCATGGTGGCTCACACCTGTAATCTTAACACTCCGGGAAGCCAAGGTGAGAAGATTGCTTGAGCTCAGGAGTTCGAAACTAGCCTCAGCAACACAGTGAGACCTCATCTCTATTAAAAATAATAATAGTGCTGTAATCCCAGCACTTTGGGAGGCAGAGGCGCGTGGATCACCTGAGGTCAGGAGTTTGAGACCAGCCCAGCCAACATGGTGAAACCCCGTCTCTACTAAAAATACAAACATTGGCTGGGCATGGTGGCTCACACCTGTAATCCCAGCACTTTGGGAGGCAGAGGCGGGTGGATCACCTGAGGTCAGGAGTTTGAGACCAGCCCAGCCAACATGGTGAAACCCCGTCTCTACTAAAAATACAAAAATTGGCTGGGCATGGTGGCGCATGTCTGTAATCCCAGCTACGCAGGAGGCTGAGGCAGGAGAATCGCTTGAACCCAGGAGGTGGAGGTTACAGTGAGCCCAGATCGCGCCATTGCTCTCCAGCCTGGATGACAAGAGCTAAACTCCGTCTCAAAAAAAATAAAATAAAATAAAATAATAATAAATAATAATAGTAAAATAAAAGAACTATAAGGCCTGGCGAGGTGGTGCATGCCTATAATCCCAGCATTTTGGGAGGCCAAGGAGTGCGGATCACCTGAGGTCAAGAGTTCAAGACCAGCCTGGCCAACATAGAGAAACTCCATCTCTACTAAAAATACAAAAATTAGCTGGGCAAGGTGGCAGGCGCCTGTAATCACAGCTACTTGGGAGGCTAAGAAGAATTGCTTGAACCTGGGAGGCAGATCCCGCCACTGCACTCCAACCTGGGTGACAGAGTTAGACTCCTACTCAAAAAAATAAAATAAAATAAAACTATAGGCGGATGCAGTGCTGCACACTTGTAATCCCAGTTACTCAGGAGACTGAGGTAGGAGGATCCCTTGAGCCAGGAGCTCAAGGCTGCAGTGAGCTATGATTGCACCACTGCACTCCAGCCTGTGCAACAGAGTGAGACCCTGTCTCTGAAAATAAATAAATTTAATTAAAAAAATTTAAATATAAGAAAGTAATAGAAAATATTTTTTTTCAAACTGGGGTACATGGATATATTCTCCATGTATCCAGGAGAATTTTTTCTTCTAAGAAAGCATGTACATTAATTAAGTTTCAGAAATACTTTAAAATCAAGACAACAGCTGTACATGACTACATGCCGAGCGAACAGGACAAATACAAAATGCCATGGAAATCCAGAGGAGAAAATCACTCTAGACTGGAAGGGCAACAGAGAGCTTCATGGAGGAGGTGGCCGGGCTCTGAAGGATGGACATTCTTTATAGGAGCAGTGAGGACAGGAGAGAATTTCAGGCAGAGCGAATGGAGTGATGAAAAGGGTGAAGGCACAGGCTGAGAGGCAGGTGGAAGCACATGTCAACAGAGGCTTGAAGGGGACACACGAGACAAGGCTGGAAAGGTAACGTGGGAGGCCACGCTGCAGACAGCCTTGAAGTCTATGACAAATAATGTGGACAATCTTCAGCAAGTAATAAGAGGCCTTGCAGATTCTTCTTTTTTTTTTTTTTTTTTTTTTTTTGAGATGGAGTCTTGCTC
The DNA here is from genome assembly GCF_000001405.40 of Homo sapiens. Lineage (NCBI taxonomy): Eukaryota > Metazoa > Chordata > Mammalia > Primates > Hominidae > Homo > Homo sapiens. The sequence continues at coordinate 91,016,418 of NC_000015.10, forward strand.
TGTCACCCAGGCTGGACTGCAGTGGCGCGATCTTGGCTCACTGCAACTCATCGCCTCCCGGGTTCAAGCGATTCGCCTGGCTCAGCCTCCTGAGTAGCTGGGATTACAGGCACACGCCACCACACCTGGCTAATTTTCGTATTTTTAGTAGAGATGGGGTTTCACCATGATAGCTAGGCTGGTCTCTATCTCCTGACCTCAGAAGATCCGCCCGCCTCGGCCTCCCAAAGTGCTGGGATTACAGGCATGAGCCGCCGCACCCAGCTGCCTTGCAGGTTCTTGAGAAAAGCACGATGAAAATAATTTTGAAAGATTAGTCAATCTGGTTATAGACTGTATTATAAATTAGAGAGGGAAGAGGACAAGAAACCACAGAAAGGAAACTACAGAAAACAAAACAAAACAACAGAAGATTAACCTAGCCATGAAATTGTAAAGTTCAGGGAGGTGAACCATATATCTCAGCCAAGGACAGATGAAAGGCAGACGTGCCCCTAGGGACCTCTTCCAGCTTGGAGTAGGGACAGACTCTCCCAGACACTCACTGTTCATTGGAGCTGAGGGCTGGCTTGTTCTCCACCTTGTATAGCTTGTCTACTTCGTGTTGCTACAGAGAGAATCCAATAAGACAATGGACATAAGAGTGCCTGAAAAGCACAAAGTGTGACACGAAGATAGGGGACTTCTTGAGGGCTTCCTAATTATGCTAATTATTGAGGGCTTCCTAATTATGCTAATTATGCTCCCCTGACGACCATCCCACTGAATTTTCCTCAAACTGTCAATAGAAAAACCTAAAATAAAACAATATAAAAACAGTATGGGCCAGGTGTGGTGGCTCATGCCTGTAATCCCAGCACGTTGGGAGGCCAAGGTAGGAGGATCACTTGAACCCAGGAGTTTGAGATCAGCCTGGGTAACATAACAAGACTCCATCTCTACAAAATTAAATATATATATATATATATATATATATATATATATATATATATATATATATATATATTCTGTAGTAAACAGACTCAGAAAAATAAATAATAAATTTAAATTTAAAAATTAACCAGGTGTGGTGGCACATGCCTGTGGTCCCAGCTACTTGGGAAGCTGAGGCAGGAGGATCACCTGAGTCCAGGAGGTCAAGGCTGCAGTGAGCTGTGATTGTGTCACTACACTGTATTCCAGCCTGGGCAACAGAGAGAGACTCCGTCTCCCGCCGCAAAAAAACACAAAACAAAAAAATACGAACAGCATCAATCTCCCTTTTCTACCCAATTAAGCTACCCTATATTTGCCCTACAAGAGTAGTCACTCTTCAGTAGTTTGTATTGTTCATCAAAAGAAAAACTGCTTAAAGAGGGGCATGGCCCCCAGGGGAAAGGGACAGTACCTTCAGGATGGAGACATTGGCAATTCGATCCAAAGGGCTCATGAGATCTGCCTCAATGAATAAATCCTTTTTTCCAGGAAGCTGAAGGAGACACAATATGTTGGGTCACTCACAGGTCACATGAGCTTCCGCAGCTGAGAAGTGGCCCAGCCACCCATCTAACAGAAACAGTCTCTGAGGTGGGAGGGCACTAAGTATCGTCTAGCCCGTCACCTTATTTATTATCTGTATCCACAGTTGACACTTCTCTGTATATTTACCTATTTTGCCTTCTCGTTTTCTGTACCAGTGGGAAGAAGACATCCCACCTTCTTTCTCAGGTTAACTCCTTGTCACTCAACCCTTCTGCTCACCTGTGACCTTGGTCTGCACCTCACTCCCCTTCTCTGCTGCCTCCTCCACTCTGGCTCCTAACCACCCCTGGTCTCCTGCTGAACAAAGCCAAACACAACAGAACCCCACCTTGCATTTTTCTCCTAAGTACAAAATAAAATAGCACACGTTCACTGCAGAAAACTTAGCAAACCCAGGACAGTCCTCACCCCATCACCCTTCCACTCCCCCACCCCACAATCCCTGTCATACGATTCCTGCACCACCACTCCTGACACCGATCTCAATGTCTGTTCAGAGGAAGGAGAGGTCACAGTTAGTGACAGGGAGGGGAAAGTCACTGGGAGTTTCCTCTCACCCAGGCCTTCACAAATGAGTAGGGTGTTGACATGGATGGATGAAGAGGACAGTCCAGCAAAGATCAGAAAGAGAGCATAGGCTGTGTAGTAAGGGGACGATTTTGCCCTCCGAGGGACATTTGGCAATGTCCAGACACATTTTTGGTTATCTGACTCAGGGTAGGGGTTTTACTGGCATCTTGTGGGTAGAGGCCAGGGGTGCTGCTAGACATCCAACAATGCACAGGCCAGCCCCCACCACAAAGAATGATCCAGCCCAAAAAGTCAACAGTATAGAGAGCAGGAAATCTTTTTTTTTAAATCTTATTTGTTGTTTTGTTTTGTTTGTTTGTTTTTTGAGATGAAGTCTCCCTCTGACACCCAGGCTGGAGTGCAGTGGCGTGATCTCGGCTCACTGCAACCTCCGCCTCCCGGATTCAAGCAATTCTCTGCCTCAGCCTCCCGAGTAGCTGAGATTACAGGTGCCTGCCACCACACCTGGCTAATTTTTGTATTTTTAGTAGAGACGGTGTTTCACCATCTTGGCCAGGCTGGTCTTGAACTCCTGACCTCATGATCCACCTGCCTCGGCCTCCCAAAGTGCTGGGATTACAGGTGTGAGCCACTGCTCCTGGCCTGTTTTTTTTTTTTTTTTTTTTTTTTTAAAGATAGAGTCTTACTCTGTCGCCCAGGCTGGAGTGGCACGACCTCAGCTCACTGCAACCTCTGCCTCCCAGGGTCAAGCAATTCTCCTGTCTCAGCCTCCCGAGTAGCTGGGATTATAGGCGCATGCCACCACACCTGGCTAATTTTTGTATTTTTAGTAGACATGGAATTTCGCCATGTTGGCCAGGGTGTTCTCGAACCCCTGACCTCCTCAGGTGATCCACCTGCCTCAGCCTCCCAAACTGTTGGGATTATAGGTGTGAGCCACCACGTTTGGCCTTTTTAAATGTTTATTTATTTTTTAGTTTCCCAAACTCAAAATGGTCAACAGAGGGTAGGAAATCTTGAGGTAGGTGAATGGTGAAAAATAGACCAAAATAGTTGGTTAGAATTGAGCAGGAAGGGCTCCAAATGCCAGCTTAGGGGAGTGTGGCCTTGATCCTCTAATTAACAGGGAAAAATAAAGCTTTTGTGTATTGAAGCATTCCAATCAGCTGGAAATGTTAGAGGAATCTGAAGACCAGAGAAACAGGAGGCAGGGAGTCCACTTAGGGAGTTAATAAAACCATCCACAGAGCGCAAGCATGTGGCAATGAAAGAGGCCTGATTTAGGCTGGTGGTGGTGTGAGCAAACATAGATTAAGAGATACATGGAATGTGTAATATAATTTTTTTTTTTTTGAGATGGAGTATCGCTTTTGTTGCCCAGGCTGGAGTGCAATGACGCGATCTCGGCTCACCGCAACCTCCACCTCCTGGGTTCAAGCAATTCTCCTGCCTCAGCCTCTTGAGTAGCTGGGATTACAAGCATGGGCCACTATGCCCAGCTAATTTTGTATTTTTAATAGAGATGGGGTTTCTCCATGTTGGTCAGGCTGGTCTCGAACTCCCAACCTCAGGTGATCTGCCTGCCTTGGCCTCCCAAAGTGCTGGGATTACAGGCATGAGCCACCGCACCCAGCCTAATATTTTTTTTAATACTTGAAAGAAATTAACAGTGTTAGTAGTGTTTATAACTTATGGTAGGGCTATAAGTAGTTTTCTTTTCCTTTTTACTTTCCTTAATCTTCTTACATTTTCTATAATGTGCAAGTGTTATTTTATAATCACCATAAAAAAGTTATGTGTAAAGAAGTATCCATGGAACTCAGCAACTGGTTCAGTTAAGTATCAGGGTGAAGGAGAGGCAAAGATGATTCTGATATTTCAAGCTGAATAGCAGTGCACATTAACAAAAATTAAGTCAGAAGTTAGTTAGGAGAGGACGTTATTGCCTGGAAATCCACTTTGGCCATGCTGAATCACCCAGTGGGCTCAAGTTTCTCTTCTTGGTCTCCTCTACTTGATCTCACCTGAACTAGTGGCTTTAACTAGCACCTCTTTTAAATTCTTCAGACATTGTTGCAAGTCTTTTATGTGCATGTCACTGTGCAAGCACTAAGTATTAAAGAGAAAGAAGCCGGGAGTGGTAGCTCAAGCCTATAATCCCAGCACTTTGGGAGGCTGGGACGGGCAGATTACCTGAGGTCAGGAGTTTGAGACCAGCCTGGCCAACATGGTGAAACCCTATCTCTACTAAAAATACAAACATTAGCCAGGTGGGCTAGCGTGCGCCTGTAATCCCAACTACTGGGGAGGCTGAGGCAGAAGAATCGCCTGAACCCGGGAGGTGGAGGTTGCAGTTAGCCAAGATCGCGCCACTGCACTCCAGCCTGGGCAACGGAGTGAGACTGTGTCTCAAAAAAATAAATAAAATAAAATAGAAATAAAATCTGGTCTAAGATGCCCTGCAGTTCTCATCTTGATCCATCTTCCTTCCAGTCCTCACAATGCAGCTGCAGTTCTACATTTCTATCTGCTGGATGTTACAAGCTATATTTCTTACGGGCATCTTAACTTCCCCCATCCAAACCCAAACAAATCAACTTCCCCCATCAAACCTGTTCCTTTTTCTAATTATTTTTCTCATTTCTATTCAATGTTAATACAACAAATATTTATTAAGCACATGGTGTGTGCTTGACTCTAAGCTAGGTACTCACTAGGTAGTGTTGAACAAAACAAACATGATCCCTGCCCACCTTCCAGTCTAATGAGGAATACAGACATAAAATGAATAACTAAATGATTACACAAGTAATCCATTAAAATCACAGTGGCAGTATTATTTTCCTAATAACCCAGGTTAAAAATCTCACTCATTTTTGCTTCTCCTTCAACATTTATAACCAATCAGTAAGTCTTTGAGTTTTCTTTCACCATAACTTAAAAATCCATCACTTTCCTTCATTCCCACTGCTACCAATTTTGTGTGGGCCTTTATTTCTTGTCTGATCTACGGTCTCCTAACTGGCCTTCTTGTTGCCCATTTACGCCACCACACACATCACTATTAGAATCATCAAGTATTGTCTCATGCCACAAATGGAAAAAAAATTTTTTTCAGTGGCTACTGTGTAACTGCTGATGGGTGTCTTCCCTTACATGCCTTGTCTTTCCCTGGTTTGCCAACTTTGCTCCTACCAATCTATCTGCCTGGAGCATGCTTAGTCTCCAAAGAAAATATGCTTATTACTCACACTCACTTCCTTGAAGCTCCTAGATCATCACCCCAACTAGAAATGATCACTTACTGTGAACTCTTCGGGTACACTAGCTCTATCACTCATTTACCACCTGTGTGTGATAATTTGTGCTTCATACAGCTCCTACTGGAGTGGTAAGATCCCTAATGGCAAAGATGTCTTAACCATCTTTCCGTCCCTAGGGATGCCTGGCACTAATGGTGTCTCCCTTGCCTGTATGCGGGGTTGGGGGGTGATTTCCATTAACTCTCTGGCCAGGTTCCAAACAGCTCTTACTACTCCCTGGATTCATTCTGGACCTGCTGGGGAAGCGCCAAGGACAATACCAGGGGCCAAGAACAAGATCAAAGGGGCACGGCAAGGAAGAAATGTGCATCCAATGAGTGCTAAACTGTAGATGCGATAAAGGCGTCAGGCAAGCACTGACCTGCTCCAGCAGATAGATGAGCTGGTCTCGAGCCAGCCTCTTCAGCATGGAGAAGTCAGGCAGCTCAGGGGCGTCCGGCCGATGGGGAAAAGCCATGGCAGCGGTCACCTGCGCCGCGGGGTGGAAGGACGCCCTTCGTTCTGAGAAGGCCGGCCGCAGCCCAGGGAAGCGCAAGGGGGGCTATCCTTCAGGCCTGGGCACCGACTTCCAGAGACCCCAGATGGGCCCTCGCTCCTCAGCAGCACTCCAGGAATGAATGGCCACCTCCAGGCAAGAGAGCTACTACCTCGGAGCAGCCTTGTCTCAGACCTGCAGCCACCGTGTCTCGACCCTCCCTCCCTGATCCACTCTGCCCGTCAGCAGGATTCCGGTCTACACCCCGCAGAGACTCCGCAGCGTACGAGGAGAACCCCGCCTTCTACCAGAAAAAGAAGCGACTTCCTAGATCTCCCGGAAGTCCCTTTCGCTCCCAGCGCTTCGCGTACCAGGAAGGGGACGGCGTCCTGAAAGGGACATTTGAAAAACGGAGGCAACGCGTCTATTAATTAGGTGGCGGCGCCTGGGGTCGCAGCACTCCAGAGGCTGAGGTGGGAGAATCGCTCGAGTCAGGGAGGCGGAGGTTGCAGTGAACTGCGATCGCGCTACTGCACCCCAGCCTGGGCAACAAAGCTAGACCTTGCCTCAAAAAAAAAAAAAAAAAAAAAAAAAAAGACATAATGAATGCATCAGGCTAGCTAACAATACCTCAACTCTGATCAATCATACCATCATATCATTTCCTGGTGAGATGCATAGGAAATACAGAGCATCACCTATTGCCAAAAATTGAACCTAATCAAGCCTCAAGATCTAACTACCAGTTTATAGGCTATATAGAGATTAGCAGGAATATGTTAAGACACCAAAGGTATGAAATCAACCATATCCAAAATGTAGGAAATTATATGGGACAAATGATCTGTCGTCTTCAAAAAAATGGCAAAGTGGGAAATGTGGGAGGGGAAAACACTTCAGAATAAAAGAGATTTAAGAGATGTATCAACAAAATGTTTCAATGTGTGGATCTTTTTTGGATAATAATTCAAAGATAACTGATTTAAGGAATTACTAAAACTTTTCGGGTATTGTATTTCTTTTCTTCTCTTTTTTTTCCTGACAGAGTCTCGCCCTTTTGCCTAGTGGAGGAGCTCGGCTCACTGCAAGCTCCGCGCCACAACCCCCCTGCCGCCCCAGGTTCAAGAGATTCTCCTGCCTCAGTCTCCCGAGTAGACTGGGATTACAGGCGAGTGCCACCATGCCCGGCTAATTTTTGTATTTTTGGTAGAGACGGGGTTTCATTATGTTGGCCAGGCTGATCTCGAACTCCTGACCTCAAGTGATCCGCCTGCCTTGGCCTCCCAAAGTGCTGGGATTACAGGCGTGAGCCACAACGTTGGGCCAGGTATTGTATTTCTATGTTATTATTATTTTTTGTATTTCTATGTCATACAGGCTTGTATTTCTGTTAAAAACAAGTCCTTATCTCTTTGAGATACATACTGAAGTTTTTACAGGTGAAATAATTTGGCCAGGAGTAATGGTTCATGTCTCTAATTCCCACCACTTTGGGAGGTCCAGGTCGGGGTCGGGGGGTTGCTTGAGGCCAGGAGTTTGAGATAAGATTGGTCAACTACAACACATAAAAAATAGCCAGGCATGGTGGTGGGCACCTTTAATCTCGATACTTGGGAGGCTGAGGCAGGAGGATCACTTGAGCCCAGGAGTTTGAGGCTGCAGTGCGCTACGATCATGCTACAGCACCCCAGCCTGGGCAACAGAGTGAGACACCGTTTGTTTTTTCTTTTCTTTTTTTTTTTTTGAGACAAGGTCTGGCTTTATCTATCACCCAGGCTGGAGTGCAGTGATATGTTCTGTCTCTTTTTTTTTTGAGATGGAGTTTCGCTCTTGTTGCTCAGGCTGGAGTGCAATGGCACGATCTCAGCTCACTGCAACCTCCACCTCCCAGGTTCAAGCGTTTCTCCTGCTGCAGCCTCCTGAGTAGCTGGGATTACAGGCATGTGCCACGCACCCAGCTAATTTTGTATTTTTAGTAGAGACAGAGTTTCTCCATGTTGGTCAGGCTGGTCTTGAACTCCTGACCTCAGGTGATCTTCCCGCCTCAGTCTCCCAAAATGCTGGGATTGTAGGCATGAGCCGCCATGCCTGGCCCGATCTGTCTCTTAAAAAATAAAAAAAAAAACTAAAATATGTTTGGGATTTGCTTTAAAATAACCCAGGGGGAGATGTAGGAACATTCAGGAAAAAGATTGGGCCAGGCACGGTGGCTCACGCCTGTGAACCCAGACCGAGGCAGGTGGATTGCTTGAGCCCAGGAGTTCAAGACCAGCCTAGGCAACACAGTAAGACCCCCATGTCTATAAAAAAATTAAAAAATGATTGGCCATTTGTTAATTGTTAAAGCTGATGGGTACATGGGGGTTTATTGCATTTTAGTATTCTACGTCTTTATTTAGAGATGGAGTGTTGCTCTGTTGCCCAGGTTGGAGTGCAGAGGTATAGTCATAGCTCACAGCAGCTTTGAGCTCCTGGGCTCAAGTGATCCTCCCACCTCAGCCCCCCAGATAGCTGGAATACAGGCACATGCCACTTTGCTGAACTTCTCCCTACGTTTCTATGTTTGAAAAGCTGTATAATACAAGGTTAAGCAAAAAACAAAAAACACGCTATGCTCACACTGGACTTTGAGAGCTCATATGGTATTTTATGCTGAGCCTTTCTTCCCACTAACGCCCTTAGATTGAATCTTGGCTGCAGTGGGAGATGGAGGTTGCCCTAAAGTGGTGGGATTTACTCCCACTGCTGCTTAAAGAAGATGAGTGAGGCATTACATTACACTCCTTCTTTTCCCCCCCGGAATCTCACTCTGTTGCCCAGGCTGAAGGGCAGTGGTGCTGTCTTGGCTAACTGCAACCTCCGCCTCCCAGGCTCATGCGATTCTCCTGCCTCAGACTCTGGAGCAGCTGGAGTTACAGGCATGCGCCAGCACTCCCAGCTAATTTTTGTAGTTTTGGTAGAGATGAGGTTTCTCCATGTTGGCCAGGCTGGTCTCGAATCCTGACCTCAGGTGATCCACCTGCCTCAGCCTCCCAAAGTGCTGGGCTTACAGGCGTGAGCCACCGCGCCCAGCCTTATTTTTATTTTTATCCCATGACTTTTTTTATCCCATAACTTTTTCTTCCTAAGTTTTTTCCATAACTTTTTTTTTTTTTTTGAGATGGAGTCTTGCTCTGTCACCCAGGCTGGAGTGCAATGGTGCATCTGGGCTCACTACAACCTCCACCTCCCGGGTTCAAGCAATTCTGCTGCCTCAGCCTCCTGAGTAGCTGGGACTACAGGCACGCACCACCATGCCCAGCTAATTTTTTGTATTTTTAGTAGAGACAGGGTTTTGCCATGTTGGCCAGGCTGGTTTCGAACTCCTGACCTCAGGTGATCCGCTCACCTCGGCCTCCCAAAATTCTGGGCTTACAGGAGCGAGCCACCACGCCGGGCCTAGTTCCCTGCTTTTGGATGACAGTAATCTTCATCTCATCTGCACCTGTTTCCCCCATTGGACACTTCCCCAGGTTTTGCTGACAGTGGCCTGCTTTTATTTAATTTTTATCACATGACTTTTTTTTTAATCCCATAGCTTTTCATAAAACTTTTTTTGGAATAATTTTTTTTCATAACTTTTTCCACAACTTTTTTCCCACAATTTTTTTCCTCAGTCTTTTTTCATAACATTTTTTATCCCATAATGTAACTTTTTAAAAATCCCATAACTTTTTAATCTCATAACTTTTTTTTTTTTTTTTTTTTTTTTTGAGACGGAGTCTGACTCTGTTGCCGAGGCTGGAGTGCAGTGGTGCGATATCGGGTCACTGCAACCTCCACCTTCTGGGTTCCAGCAGTTCTCCTGCCTGAACCTCCCAAGTAGCTGGGACTACAGGGGTGTGCCACCATGCCTGGCTAATTTTTTATATTTTTAGCAGAGACGGGTTTCACTGTGTTAGCCAGGATGGTGTTGATCTCCTGACCTGGTGATCTGCCCGCCTCGGCCTCCCAAAGTGTTGGGATTACAGGCGTGGGCCACCGTGCAGAACATCTCATAACTTTTTTAATCCCATTACTTTTTTTAATCCCATAACCTTTTCAGTTTGTGTTCTTTTAATAAACACTTGCATAGTTATATTACAATTTTGTAAAAATAAAAACATTATCCCATGCCAAGTGTGCCCAGCACTTGCACAATCTCGATACCTTTAATACTATGGTTTTCAAGACACACAAAATAAAATTTTAAGTCAAAAACAGCACTTTGCAACAATAACTTATTACATTACAGTAACATCACAGCAGTATTCGATAATGACACTTTAGGCAAAAGTCTTTCAGTATTTCCATTATAAATTCTATTTACAAGAATTCGTAAATAGGTAAAAGTTATTCTAAGAAAACTTGACAAATAAAACTTTGGACTGGAATTGGCATTTCTTTCTCTACTTTTCCTTCTCCAGTTTCTTTCTTTTAAGCTACAGTATTCATATTTTAAAATGTTTTATTTCAAAACATTAAAATAACAGTTACTTTTTTAATAGTTATACTATTATAAAATGACTCCTTAAGATAAAGTTTTAAATAAATTATATTCTGGATAGGGCTGATTTACATTTTGAAATTTTCTAAAAATCAGCTTGGTTTTAAAATGGATTTTTTTTTCCATTTCCGGAAAACCTATCAGGTTTAATCAAATACTTTAAAAATGATTATCATATATTGCAATCTTTTTTTTTTTTTTTTTTTTTAGAGATGGAGTCTCACTCTTTTGCCCAGGCCAGACTGCAGTGGCGCTATCTCGGCTCACTGCAAGCTCGGCCTCCTGGGTTCATGCCATTCTCCTGCCTCAGCCTCCCCAGTAGCTGGGACTACAGGTGCCCGCCACCGTGCCTGGCTAATTTTTTATATTTTTTAATAGAGACGGGGTTTCACCATGTTAGCCAGGATGGTCTCGATCTCCTGACCTCGTGATCCGCCCACCTCGGCCTCCCAAAGTGCTGGGATTACAGGCACTAGCCACTGCACCTGGCCCATGCCTGGCCTATTTTTATAGAGACAGGGTCTCACTGTGTTGCCCAGGCTGGTCTCAGACTCCTGGACTCAAGTGATCCACCCACCTTGGCCTCCCAAACTGCTGGCATTACAACTGTGAGCCACTGTGCCTGGCCTATTTTTATAGAGATGGGGGGGGTCTTGCCATGTTGCCAAGGCTGGTCTTGAACTGCTGGCTTCAAGCAATCTTCCAGCTTTGGCCTCCCAACGTGCTGGGATTACAGGCGTGAGCTACTGTGTGTGGTCTAAAGTCTATTGATAACATTTTGAGTGATACTTATTAAAAAATAAAAAAGTTTTATAGGTATTTGTGTTAGCTTTTTTATTGTTGTATAACAAAATACCGCAAGCATAATGGCTGAAAATAACACATATCTCACAGCTGGGCACAGTTGAGCTGGGTCCTCTTCTTAGGGTTTCACAGCACTATAATCCAGGTGTCAGCTGGGGCTGTAGTGTGTCTCATCAAAGGGCCAACTGGGGAAAAAGACTGACTTCCAAGCTCCTTCAGCGTGTTTGGCAGAATTCATCTTTAACTGTAGGACTGAAGTCTGTTTCCTTGATGACCTTTGGCTCTGAGTTGGGAGCTGCTCTCACCTAGGGACTGCCTGAAGCTCCTTGTTGCCTGGCTTATCTGTAGACTGTCTTACAACATGGCAGCTTGCTTCTTTAAAGCCAGCAAGGGCTTCTCCAGTCTGCTAAGATGGTATCTTATATAGAACATAACACAGGAGTGACATCCCATCACTTTTGCTATATTCTTTTGGTTAGAAACAAGTCAGGTCTCCCATCCCAGCACTTTGGGAGGCCGAGGCAGACAGATCACTTGAGGTCAACCGTTTGAGACTAGCCTGGCCAACATGGTGAAACCCCATCTCTACTAAACATGTACAAAAAAAATTAGCCAGGCGTGGTGGCTAATCCCACCAACTGTAATCCCAGCTACTAGGGAGGCTGAGGCAGGATAATCACTTGAACCCGGGAGGTGGAGGCTGCAGTGAACTGAGATCGCGCCACTGCACTCCAGCCTGGGTGACAAAGTGAGATTCCATCTCAACAACAACAACAACAAGAAACAAGTCAGGTCTTGCCTACACTCAAAACGAGGGGAGTGTATAAGGTGTAACATGGGGAATGTGTGGAGATCACGGGACCCACTTTAGAATTCTGCCTACTATAGTATGCTAATGATCTCTAATAGATGTCTAATAATCAGCAGAGAATATTTTCAGTTTTATCTTCATTGAGTACCTTTTTTAGATTGATAACTAATGAAACATTATTTTTACATTAATTACATTTCCTTAGCTTTCTTGTGAGGGTTTAGAAGTCAGTCTATACATTTATCCTGGGCTGTATTTTTTTGTGGGCTTTCTAGGGTGGGATGTGAGTACACAGAGTTTACACATACCTCACTGAAACTGTTTTTTTCTTTGCGGCACTGTAAGGGCTGTGGTAATGAAGGCTGGGAGCGATGGCTCACACCTGTAATCCTAGCACTCTGGGAGGCCAAGGCAGGTAGATCACTTGAGGCCAAGAGTTCGAGACCAGCCTGGCCAACATTGTGAAACCCCCGTCTCTACTAAAAATACAAAAATTAACTGGGCATGGTGGTGCATGCCTGTAATCCCAGTTACTCAGGAGGCTGAGGCAGGAGAATAGCTTGAATCAGGGAGTTGGAGGTTGCAGTGAGCCAAGATCGCGCCACTGCACTCCATCCTGGCAACAGAGCGAGACTCCATCTCAGAAAAGCAAAGAAGTCTTCCGTTTGCACAAAGGGAAAGTAAAAAATTGTTTAAATTAACCAGAAGTCTGTAACGAGGTTAAGTAAGGGCTAAATGTTGTCGTTTCTTGTTTATCATTAGGAACATGTGATGATGGTAGTGCTGGTGTTGAGGGTGACTGGGCTCAGAAATGATCATAGGTGCGCCTAGGTTTTGAGGCCTAATTTTCTAGTTTCTAGAAATGAGGTTAGAAACAAGAGTTCTGATCAAAATCTCCCTTGGCTATTACTGTTAATATGGTTTGCATCTAGAATGACACAGAAACTCATTACCCATATCTTTTCTATGGCAGTGAGGAAAACAGAGTAAGTTCATGAACATAGGGATTTAGCCTTGGGTAACGAGGAAGGGTATGAAGCAAGGTTGCTGACATTTCTAAATGTCTGGAATCTGATTTGAGGCTGGGCACAGTGGCTTATACCTGTAATTCCAGCACTTTGGGAGGCCCAGGTGGGAGGATTGCTCAAGCCCAGCAGTTTGAAACCAGCCTGGGCAACATGGCAAGACACCATCTCTGCAAAAAATACAAAACATCAGCCAGGCATGGTGGTGCGCACCTATGATCCCAGCTACTGAAGAGGCTGAGGTGGGAGGATCCCTTGAACCCAGGAAGTTGAGGCTGCAGTGAGTCATGTTCACACCACTGCAGTCCAGCCTGGGTCACAGAGCGAGACGCTGTCTCAAACAATAAATAATCAACCCGATTGTGGCCGATGAAAAATTTGGCAGTTTGATTTGGAGCTCATGGAAACTTTCTCAAGTTCATGATTAATCTTTTCCCATATTTTGAAGTTCTAGGACAAGGAGACTGGCTTTCACAGAGGTTCGGGTTGGGTTCAGTTTTCTTCAGAAGAACTTCAGAATGCACTACAACAGGAAAATCATATTCTAGATGGAGTCAAGTCAATCTGTTTGTATACCAGATACATCTATGATATACATGCAGCTACTATCTGATTATGTATCAATTAAATAGATCATAAATGTGGAACGATGGGGACTTTGAGAGATTTGTAACTGAAGCTGCCTTCATGCTTGTTAGAATGCTGGGGTGGAAGAGTTCCCAGTTTTAAAGGAGAAGTACAAGAAGACCTGTAATTGTTAGCAAGATATACAGAACACAGTGCACACAGCAGCGCACTTCTCAAGTCAGGTAAGCTGGGGCTGAAATCTTGCCTTTCCTGCTTATTATGCGATCTTGGGCCAGATTGATTTATATTTTATTTTTTAATTTATTTGTTTTCGTTGAGACTGGGCCTTTCTATGCTGCAGGTTAGTTTTGAACTCCTAGCCTCAAGCTGTCCTCTTGCCTCAGCCTCCCACAGTGCTGGGGTTATAGGACTGAGCCACTGTGACTTGCCCAATTTACAATTTTTAATGGAGGGTGAGGGAGTCATAGGAACAACAAAGATGGTAAAGGGAGTTTGAGGAGAAAACAAATAAAAGAACAAGGTGCACATAAAAACTGCCTGAGTTCTTTTCACTGACTCCCTCATAAAAAGGCGATTTTCAGATCGAATGTTTTTGCAGACATTGCCTTTCCTTCCTTACAGTGCTTATTTTTTTCCAGCTCCAGGTTCAAGCTCAAAGGCCTAAAGTTTTGCAAACATCTGGTGAAGAGGAAGATTTTTGAGACTCTCCCAGCCTATTACATAAAGGAAACATAACCGAGAATTTTGTCTAAAGGTTTTCATTTGAAACAAAGCAAGAGCTTCTTTTCCCCACTCCGAATTAAAACACAGCGCAACAGGGGCCACATTTATTTGGCAGGACAGTACCAATATGTGAACATCCTCCTCCTCACTGCCGTTGGGGTGACTTGACTCATAAGCAGCTGTTCTTACACAAAATATTAACCCGAACTGCTAGTGTCACACAGAAGGAAGTGGTCTTGATTGTGTATGTGGGCCAGCATGTTCTACAAATGCTGAAAGGTGGGAGAAGCACAAATACAACCCACTCTTTAAAAAAACTAAATAATTCAAAGTAAAATTTTCTATCCCCGCCCCCTCCCCACCCTTGCCTTCTCCAATAATAAAAAGTAGAATCCAGATTTGGTTTGTATCCTGACCATTCACAAAGTGTCGTGCCACAGCACTTGCATCATTAGGGTTATGGATGATCACAGTTCATTTGCTTTGAAGAGACGTGTGTCTGCTCCTTCCTCCTCTTCTTGCCTTCATGCTCATGTTCTCTGGGGCAGCTGCTGAGGGTCTTTGAGGGCCACCATGCTGTCTGGCTTCTTCCAAAAATGTGTCCAAATCAAAAGAATCTTCCTCAAACTGAACTGGTCCTTCTCAGCCTCTCGGCTTCTCTGTCTATGGTCTGAAAAACTCCTTGTTGGGAACAAATCTAGGGAACAAGAGAAAAGACTATGAACTACTTTATTTTCACTGGTGTAAACACTGAAACAGAGTTGTATGGCTTGATACCTGTTGGTCTTTCTTCTGGCTTCTAGGTCATGACCATACATATCCTTGTCCAGGTTTTTACCAGACCTATAAATACTCTGGGCCATATCTTTATTTACCACCTCTCCAGGCTTGATCGTAAACATTATAAATTTTGTCTTCTCCACCTGCAAATCCACTGTCCATACCCTGTAGAAAAGTGGATGACATTAAATGAAAATATAAACACCAATTATTAAAAGATGAATCTGACAACATTCATGTGAAGAGTAAACTCTTGCTAATTTGTAGCTCAAATTTTCCACAGCCTGAACTGCAAATTGTAAAAAAGTCTTCATTGGACTGGGTGTGGTGATTTAGGCCTGTAATCCCAGCACTTTGGGAGGCCGAAGAGGGCAGATCACTTGAGGTCAGGAGTTCAAGACCAGCCTGGCCAACATGGAGAAAGCCCGGTGGGTCTCCCCACACGCGGAATCGCCCCCGGTCCTTGGGGTTGGGGCTGCCGCCTCTGGCTCCTTCTGGGCCAAGGCCACTGGGTGAGCCAGGTGCTGGCAACACACCCTTTGCTCCTTCAGCTGCCCATGTAGCTGTGCCTGCTGCTCCTCCTCGGCACTGACTAAAGCTGAGTTTAAAAAGGCCACCTGCAGGCAAGACATATGCATTCTTGTAGGGGGATACACAGGACAAACGCGGCAGGGAGGGGGAGAGGAGGTCTTCCTTTGGGGCCTCAGAGGGTGCACCTGTGGGTCACAGGTGAAATGATGTCTGATCACTGGCTCCCAGGGAAGGCACGAGGGTCCAGAGAAATCAGAGGGCAGGAAACAAAGAGCAAAAGGGGGTCTGGGAGGGACCACAGAGGGAGGCAGCAAAGGTGGGGCAGTGGGAGTCAGGCTCACCATGGCCTCCCGGCTCTTCAGGTCCTCCAAGATGCTCGGCATGGGCTGAGGCGCCTCCTCCTCCTCCTTACTGCCCAGTTCATCGCCTGTGAGGGGTGGCCAGAGGGGTCCTCGGACAACTCAACAAGGGAGGTACAGTGGGCCATCTCTGTCCCCACCCTCACTGTGTAACCCTGGGCCGGCCCCTTCCCAGAGAGGAATGAGCAGCTGTTCTCTATTTTCATTTTTTTTTTCTAAGAGCCAATGTCTCGCTATGTTGCCCAGGCACAGTCCCACTAGCCATCGGTGCGGGAGTTCTGACCTGCTCCCTTTCTGACCTGGATCCCATCCTTAGGCAACCTGGTGGTCCCCGCTCCCAGGAGGTCACCATATTGATGCCAAACTTAGTGCAGACACCCGGTCAGCATAATGACCAGCTGTCTTAAAGGTCTCTTCCAACTCCTCAATCCTACAGTGCTAACAGTCCCCCTTTCCTCCTGGGGCTCTCTCCTCTTCCTCTGAGTGGTGTCCCGTACCTTCCCCAGGGAGAGCCATGAGGCTCATCTGGGACTGTAGCTGCTGGTTCTGCTGGCTGGTAGCTTCCAGGCGCTCCTAAGGGGCCAGGAAAGAGAATGAGAAGGCACAGAGGTTGGCAGGTCGTCCCCCTCGGGGCCCCGCCCTCAGTAACTCCCTTGCCTGAGTTTCCTTGAGCTCTTGGTGGGCCATCTCGGCCACTGCTTTGCCCTGAGCTTCCTGCTGCTGCAGCTGGTCCATGAGCTGGGTCTGCAGCAGTAACTGCCTGTGCAGCGCCTCCTTCTCAGAGGTCAGCTGCTGATAGGCTGCCACCTGCTGCTGCTAAGTGGCCACGTACTGCTGCAGGTGACCCAGGTACTGGCCTCGAGGCCGCTGCAGACTCTGAGCCTGTTGGCTCTCCAGCTCCACCTGCAGGAAGTCCCTGGGCATGAGGGCAGCTGGTGGCTGGCTTCCAGATTCTGGGCCCATTAATAGGGTAGAGAGGGCACTGTGGGGCTCTGTCACCTGCCCAGGTCCCTGGCCCCTTGCTCCAGGCCTAAGTGACTGCCCCTACTTGCCTAGAGCCCCATGCCTCCTTCCCCAGCCTCAAATCTCACACCCTTTTCTCACCATTTAAACTGCAGGCCACAGACTGGAGGAAAAGCAGAGGGAGCCAACCACCATCTGCTAAGTGTGCTACATGCCTAATGTTTCCACGTATTATCTAATTTAACCCTCAGCACCTCTGCGAAGAAAAAGCTCACTTCCTTTTGAAGTGAAATAAACTGAGACTTAGAGATGCAAAGTAGTTCAATGGTGAGCAGTGGATCCGAGGCCAGAATTCAGTTTGAATCTAAGGAGGCTCTTATACCATTGCCTCTTTCCCTATGACTGGGGGGCTCCATGCCTCTAGCTGGGATGATGACGTCCAGACCTGGGAGGAGCCCAGGGCTACCCACCTCTAAAAGTCAGAGGGCAGGAAGCAAGAAACAATCACAGCACTGCCCTGGAGGGTGCTGGGGTCACCTGTCCCCCAGGCTAGAGCTGCCTCTGGCCTCGCACCTCCCTTCCCCAGAGACTGGTGCCCGCCTCCTAGCCCTTCTTCGATGGGGCGGGGGTTACCATCTGCTTCACCTTGGCCAGCTGCTCCTCGAGCTGGTGATTCTGGGAGAGCGCGTGGCTGATGGTGGTGCGGTCTTTCTGCACGGAGGACCTGCCCGTCTCCCCCTGCTCCTCCCAGAGCTCTGCTTTCCACTCCCGCAGCCTCTCGTCCTGCTGCCGGTTCAGGTGACTCGAGCCCTCATTGGCTTCCACTTGGGCTTGGAGCTGTCCTGCCAGACTCTCCAGCGTCTTCCGCAGGTGCTTGATCTCCGCTTGTAGCTGCTGCTCCACCTCCAAGGGTCCTGCTGGGGGCTCCAGGTGTAGGGGTTCAGCTGAGAAAGGAAGCAGACAATAAGGGCCTCTGGATTCTCAAAAAACCCTCCTCTTGGTGCACAGCTCCTCTCAGGCTCCCCAAACTTGGCCTCCCTGCTAATGATTCCTTGCACCCGGGTGGTAGCCAATCTTCCAAGCCACTTTTAGATAGCACTGTGGGTGGCTGACAATCAGCACTCCTCCCTCTTTGCTGATGGGGACACTGAGGCTCATGGAGATGACAAGACTTGCCATGTCCCCACCTCTTTCCCTGTGCCTCAAAGCCCTTCCATTTACCCACCTCCCTGGGGCATTCTAAGCCACCCCCACAGCCCTCTGATGCCAGTCCTGCTTCGAGGTCACCCCAGCCCCAGCTCACCCATCTGGTTCTTCGTTCAGTGGTGAGCAGTGGAGCTGAGCTTGTCTCCAGTTCCTCTACCTGACGCATGTCATGCTTCTTCTCCTCCTTCAATGTGTGAACCTGCCCAAAATACAGGGGGAAAGGGCCCTGGAGAGAGGGGCTGGTGGCTGGACAGGCTACCATCTCCCTCTCTGCCCCCACCTCCACAAAGCCCAGACCGATGACCACCTCTGGCTGTGCTCTTCCCATTGCACAGATGGTCAGAACGATCAAGCGACCTCTCCAAGGCGGGGACTGAAGCGTCAGGTCTCACCTGCTCCAACATCTCCTGCATCCTCTGCCACACGCGGCATGCTCTCCATGGAGATACTCAGCGTACTCGTCTCTCCATTTGTAGATACTGCAGCCACTCCATCACCTGCGAGAATTGACACAGAAGTTAGGAAGGGCTGTCACTGGTCCTCACATACTCCTGGCCACCTGGGGTCATCTTCCTTCCACGTCCCTCCCTCTGCAAAGCCTCACGTGCCCCAGGTATGCTTCCAGCTGTGCCCGCTCCTCCATGGCCTGCTGTAACTGCTGGTTAGCATCCAGGGCTTTGCAGCATCTAGACAACTGGATGGTGAAACAGGAGACATTTCTATCTGGGGAGCCCGGACTGTTCCACACAGCGCCTTTAAAAGGGCTAGGGCTAGGCTCAATGTACAACTCAGTCAATAAGGTCTCTGTCAAGTTGCTTTGCTTTAGATACAAAAAATTGAATAATTTTAAAGAGATCTCAGGCTGGGCATGGTGGCTCATGCCTGTAATCCCAAAATTTTGGGAGGCTGAGGCGGGTGGATTCCTTGAGCTCAGGAGTTCCAGACCAGCCTGGGCAACATGGCGAAGCCCCGTCTCTACAAATACAAAAATTAGCCAGGTGCAGTGGCACGCACCTGTAGTCCCAGCTACTTGAGAGCCTGAGGCAGGAGAATAGCTTGAGCCTGGGAGGTGGAGGTTGCAGTGAGCTGAGATAGCACCACCGCACTCCAGCCTGGGTCACAGAGCGAGACCTCACCTCAAAAAAAGAAAAAAAAAAGATCACAACTCTATTACCAGGAAATAGTGAAAGTGTTGGCTTGAACCTCAGAAGGAAATAAACAGACTCATGAGCTAGCCATATAAATGTAATCTATAAAATAATGGTTTTCATCCATGATGCTTTATGAAAAAAAATTTTAAGCCCTAACCTTCAGATTCTGATTCCCCAGGTCCATGGCAGGGCCTCAATTTGTAGATTTTTAGCAGTCTCTAGAGGATTCTATGGCAGGAGAAGAACAAGGACTCAAATTTTTCGGCTCTTGGCTGGAGCCTCCCCATACCCGGCATGATCCCTAGGCCATGGCCCCAGCTGGATGGGGCTCTCACCACCCCAGGGCTGCAGTAATCCCTCCAGGTGTTCAAGAACCTCTGGCATACGCCAGGTAGAAAAATGTGTTTCCTTCTGTAGGTCCAAAGCCAGGGATACCATATGTTCTGTATTGATATGAAACAATGACTTGCAATTAAAACATATAAATATCCTTCCTACTCCTACCCTCCATCCAATGTGTTTTATTTTTATGAGTTAAATAAGAAAACGAGTGGCAATCGGAGATTTTGTCTAAAAAGTATATCTACAGGTATCAGTTCTCATCCAGCCTGATCTCATCCAATATCATATATATTCTCTTACATGTAAAGTTTCAGAAAAGTATCTTCACAATGTAAGACTCAGGCACACTAGGAGTTCTATAATAAAACACCAAGTAGATCAGAATGTCCAACCTTACTAGAGAAGAAAAGTGGAATCATTGGCTATATTTTCAAATTGCATTCAACAGGAAATTTAAGTTTTGAGTTTTTTCCACCTTGAACCTGGGAAGCGGAGGTTGTGGTGAGCTGAGATGGCGCCATTGCACTCCAGCCTGGGCAACAAGAGCAAAACTCTGCCTCAAAAAAAAAAAAAAAAAAAAAAAATTACTCAGAAAAAAGGAATGATTTCTAACAGAAAGTGGGCAATGGAGACGCGGGAACTTCTCACAAGAATAAAAATGGCCAATGAGCATATGAAAAAGATTAAAAAGCACTAGAAATCAAAGAAATGTCATGAAAACAATGAGATTTTCTGCTTAAAGACCAGCAAAGATGACAAATAGAAGGGGAACCTGGAGCTCTGTCTCTGTTGGTGGGATTATAAACTGAACCAATTTTCCTACAGGATAATTTGAACATTTCTATTAAAAACCCTAAAACTGTTTTATGTTATTTTCCTCCAGAAATTCTTCTTCTATGAATTCAGTCCAAAAATGCTTGCTCAAGTCTATTAAAAATGTATATAGAAGGAATTTCACCAGCTATTCACCAGGAATTAACAGCCAGCTATTAAAAATGATGATGCCAGGATATATTTCTGCCATAGAGACATGCCCAAAATATAGTAAGTGACAAAAGGCTATATATTATGATTCTACTTTTTAAAATGTTTATGTGCACACAAAAGTGTAAAAAGCAACACACCAGAATGTTTTGAGTGGCAAAATTAAAAATTTTTCTTTATATTTTGTCATCCAAATTATTACAAAAGGAATGTGATTTCCTTTATAATCAGGGAGAAGTGTTATTTTCATTTATTTATATTTATATATTTTTTCTTTTTCTTCTTTTTTCTCCTGTATGTTTTCCACGTAGGCTAGAGAGCTTGAATCTCTGCCTCTTGAGGTCAGTCTGCCCATTTTCGGGACGTGCAGTACACAAAGCTGCCCCATCTTCCTTTTATTTTTCATTTTTATTTTATTTATTTATTTTTTGTTTTGAGACGGAGTCTCGCTCTGTTGCCCAGGCTGGAGTGCAGTGGCATGATCTCGGCTCACTGCAACCTCCACCTCCCAGGTTCAAGCGATTCTCCTGCCTCAGCCTCCCTAGTAGCTGGGATGACAGATGCCCGCCACCATGCCTGGCAATTTTTTTTTATTTTTAGTAGTGACGGGGTTTCACCATGTTGGCCAGGCTGGTCATGAACTCCTGAGCTCAGGTGATCCATCTGCCTAGCCCTCCCAAAGTGCTGGTATTACAGGCGTGAGCCACCACGTCCAGCTGAGAGGTTTTTTTTTTTTTTCCATTATACTTTAAGTTTTAGGGTACATGTGCACAATGTGTAGGTCTGTTACATATGTGTACCTGTGCCATGTTGGTGTGCTGCACCCATTAACTCATCATTTAACATCACGTATATCTCCTAATGCTGTCCCTTTTTTTCTCCTCCCTGCCCTTCCCCATCATTGTAGCCAGCAGCAGCTCCAAACTTCACTGCTGCTGGGGAGCAAGTAGTAGAGGGGAAGGAGGGAGGGAGGAGATGGTGGGCACCAGGGGGACCCTGACCCTCTCCCATGACATTTCCTGCCACCCGCAGCAACAGTGTGGTGTGTCTGGGTGATCCCAGGCCTGCCACAGAACAGAAACAATGGCTAGAAAAGATGGATATCTCAGTGGTGATCAAGGTGGAAGGATGACTGAGGACGAGGTGTCTCTCTGCATCCCAATCCCCTGACTTCACATAGAACCAGAGCACTGAGGCACAGCTGACTGCCCAGGAAAGGGACCTTGAATTCAGAAACTCAAGTGTTGCATTTAAAATCAAGGACTTTAGGATGAAATTTCTCATGCACTGCATTGTGGACAGGGATTCACGGTGTCATGGATGGGGCACCTCCCAGTGCTGGGTTTTGTGTGCAGCACTTTGTATCCATTCTCTCTGACCTCCCAACAGCCCACTGAAGGAGACATTACCACCCTCATTTCACAGCGGGGTCAGAGGCCACAGGGAGGTCATGGGGGAGGAGGAGAAGCAGGTACCTCAGTCTGAGGTTTGGACCTCCCCCTCCGACTCTGAGGGCAGTGCTGAGAAGCTCCCTAAGAGGCAGGGACCAGAGCTGGAGGAGTGGAGACTGTCACAGACCCTTCCGGGGCTGCTGTGCCATTGCTGGAACCTTTTCTATGGAGAGTACTAAGTACCTCTACCTGTAGCACTTTCCCTGGCTGGAATCCTGCAATTGTCACAGTGGTCTGAGATCCAAGAAGGCAGGGCAGAAGCATTGTGTCCCCTTCCCAGCAGATGCAAGGGAGGCTGGGGGGTGAGGCACAAGCCCGTGGGAGGGTGAGGGGCAGGATGGGTGCATGGTGAGCCTCTGTTGACTGCTGGCTGCCTCAGCTGGAAGGTCAGGACCCAATGGCTATTACAGGTTACAATTACAGAAGTATTTTGGATTTCGGATTTTTTCAGATTTTGGAATTCGAAAATCTGAAATCGAAAATGCTCCAATGAGCATTTCCTTTGAACCTGGCCTTCGAACATCATGTCGGCACTCAAACAGTTTTGGATTTTGATTTTCAGATGAGGGATGCTGTATTATCTTCTGAATGAGGCCACTCATTTAGGAAAGCCAAGAGTTTGGGGACATGGAGCTGCAGGCCAAAGAGGTGATTTTTGAGGTGCCTTCCAGTGCAGAAGGGCCTACAAAGTGGTTTAAGCCAAGCCACAAAATAGGAAACCCAATATTTAGCTAATGGAACACTGATAAAACCTGCTCAAGATGTCTGTCTCTACTAATTCAGATGGAGCCAAGCCAATGCATTCTTATTATTTTAAAAAGGCACCAGTCCGTCTGCAAAAGCACTGAATTGTATCACGCATCATCAGTGGTGGTTTTTTACGGATATGAAGAAGGGGTTTTCACAATACATCGCACGACACACTATCTTCCAAATCTCTAAACATTTCTCTCCCCAGCCTGATCTTCTCCAGTTGTCCAAATCACTCCCTCTTTTCTCTTGTCTCCAAAACTCAAAACCATGTTCTGACTTTCTGTGTCCTGCCCTCCCCTACTTGGACCACCTGAGAAGGCCCCCGGTTCCCCAGGGTGTCCCCTCCTCCCCTCCTGGGATCCCCCATCTTTCCTCAAATGGACCAGTTTGGCCTCTGTTAGTTTCTCCAACTCTGCATCTCAACCTTTCTCCCTTCACTACAGAATAATGTCCAGGAGGCCAAGAGCCCACAAACCAGGGACCCTCCCTTTCCAGAAGGGAGGAGAGAGGTGACTACAAATATTTGGTTATGATTTTCTTCGCTGCCATGCCTGTTTCCATGGGCAGTGCTGAGCCCCAGTCCTGGCAGAGCTCAGAACCAGGCTTTCAAGAGCTGGGGCAAGTGGGGCCTAGGGAGCCTCTGGGTTGAGGATCTTGCACCCCACTCTGCAGCTGCCCTGTCCCAACCTCTGTCCCTTCCTTCCTGTGCCCCCAGGCCTGCTCTGCCCTGTCCTGCCTCAGCCTGCCCAGGAAGGCCTCTGCTTGAGGCCCCCAGGAGGCTCACCCCAGAGCAGGCATTATGATGGGGACTCCCACATCCCACCTGCAGAGTCTGCCTGGGGCTTTGAACCAGCCAGGAAGCTCATGTGGACAGGGCTGGCCCCGGGCCTAGTGGTGGGGGAGGCAGGTCAAGTCTGAGCCCTCCCCAGTGCTGCCCCCATCCCCAGGCCTGGCTTCCTCTGGCACCCAGTCCTGCAGGTCCCACCCACCCTGTGCTCTGCCAGGTCAGGGGACTGCTGCTATGGCATTAGAGGGTCAGAGCCGCAGAGGGCCCTGGAATTGATTAGCCAAGTCCACCTCCCATGCCTCAGGATGGGGATGTTAAGGCCTAAAGCGAGTCAGGGACCCTCATCCACAAAAGAGCACATAATTTTGGACAGAATGAGCTAGAACCCTGGTCTCTGAACTTCCACGCTAGTGTTTTCCCCATAACACATAGGGATTCCATCATTTCTAGCTGGGCTCATTGGCTCATGCCTGTAATCCAAACACTTTTAGAGGCTGAAGTGGGAGGATTGTTTGAGACCAGGAGCTTGAGACAAGCCTGGGCAGCAGTTTGAGACCCTGTCTCTATAAAACATCAAAAAATTAGCCAGGCGTGGTGGTACACATCTGTAGTCTCAGCTACTTGGGAGGCTGAGGCAGGGGGATTGTTTGAGCCCAGGACTTCGAGGCTGCAGTGAGCTGTGATTGAGCCACTGCAGTCCAGCCTGGGTGACAGAGCAAGACCGTGTCTCTAAAACGATAATAATAGTAATTTCTAAACTATGGAGGTGGGTAAGGGTGGGTATTGTCGAAATTAATGGAATTGAAAGTGTAGATTGTGGGTTCTCCTATGGTTATTTGCATTTTAAGTGGAACATAAAGATCAAAACATCTTGACACACAGGCAAATCCACGGAGACAGAAAGCAGATGAGTGGCAACCGGCGCCTGGGGAAGGTGCGGAATTGGAAGTGACTGCTTCGTGGGTACGGGGTTTCTTTTGGAGGGATGAAGAGGTTCTGCAGTGATTAGTGGTGATGGTTACACAGCACTGTGAGTGTACTTAATGCCGCTGAATCATACACTTGAAAATGGTTGAAGTGGTAAGTTTTATGTTTCATGTATTTCACCACAATTAAAAAAGAAAGCTCCCGGACTCAAATACATAAAACCTGTATAGAAAAAGGTCTCACTGCTGGGAGTCTGTTTTGCTTCTTTCCTTCTCTCTCTGTGCCTCCTTCACCCAGTCTAAGAGGGGAGCTACACGCAGTGTAGAGAGTGACTGAGAATCCACTCCAGGACAGCATCCCAAGAAACAAGACAGAACCAAATGATAAAAGGAGTTGTTTCTGGAAAAACATCCTGGAATAGGGGAGGCAGCACAGGTCAAGCCACAGGGGAGGGTCTGTGACAGCTGCTTTACTCCACGGGGTACCACTGAATGCTCCGGTGGTTCCTGACTTCACATTTTAAAAATTATTTTTATTTATTTATTTTTTTTGAGATGGGGTCTGTTGCCCAGGCTGGAGTGCAGTGGCATGATCTCAGCTCACTGCAATTTCTGCCTCCGGGTTCAAGTGATTCTCCCGCCTCAGCCTCCTGAGTAGCTGGGATTACAGGTGCACGCCACCACGCCCAGCTAATTTTGTATTTTTAGTAGAGATGCTGTTTCGCCATGTTGGCCAGGCTGGTCTTGAGCTCCTGACCTCAAGTGATCCTCCTGTCTCGGCCTCCCAAAGTGCTGGGATTACAGGTGTGAGCCACCTCGCCCGGCCCTGAGTTCACTTTTTTTAAAGACTCCACATATGAGTGAGATCATGGGCTATTTGTCTATGTGTGCCTGGCTTATTTCACTTAACATGGTGTCCTCCAGGTTCATCCATGTGGTTCCAGATGACAGGATTTTGTCCTTTTTATGGCTGAATAGTACTTCATTGCCTATAAGAAATGACCCATGCATAAGGGGATGGATGTGCTACCTCCCTGATTTGATCATTACGAAGCATATCTGTATTGAAACATCAAATTGTACCCTATGTACACTTTGTACATACAATATGTACACTTTGTACATATTGTATGTACAATTTGTACATACAGTAGGTACAAATTGTACATACAGTAGGTACAATTTGTACATACAATATGTACAATGACAATGTGTCCCTTTTAAAAAACTGGCTCGCAGTAGAGACCAGTAAAGGCTTTCGCAGCTCCAAGGGAGATCACAGACTGTGGAGCAGGCTGGGGGCTCCAGGGCCTGGGCCCCTGGCACTCACCACTGTACTTTCCAGGCACAACCCTCCCTCTCTTTAAGGTCAGGCATTCCCCCTCCCCTTCCTGAAGGTCCTGCTTCAAGCCTGCCTCCTCCTTCCTCACCCAAACCACTCGCTGTGTTTTCACCCCTTATCAGAAAATTACTTAGGCCATGAAGCTCTGTATACATTTACCAGCTTTCTGAAAAGGCTTTCATATCAGGCAGTTTCCCACGGGGTTGGAGTCTCAACGCATTGAAATGGTAAATTATGCTGGGTGCAGTGGTTCATGCCTGTAATCCCAGCACTTTGGGAGGCCAAGGTCAGGAGTTCGAGACCAGCCTGGCCAACATGGTGAAACTGCATCTCTATGAAAAATACAAAAATTAGCCAGGCATGGTGCGCACCTGTAATCCCAGCTACTCGGGAGGCTGAGGCAGAATTGCTTGAACTGAGGAGGTGGAGGTTGCCCTGAGCCGAGATCATGCCACCGCACTGCAGCCTGGGTGACAGAGCAAGGCTTCTTCTCAAAAAAAAAAAAAAAAAGAAAAAAAAAGAAAATAAAAAAATTAAAAAGAAATGGTAAATTATGTTTTCTTTACTCCCTTTACTGAACTCCTTGTAGGGCCTAGCACTGTATTCTGCACACTTGAGTCCATCGTCCAGCAGATGCTGGTCCTTCATCTGGTCTGGGGCTCTGAGCACTCGCCCCACAGTGCTGACCCGGCGGTGCTCACCGGGGTGGGAGGGAGTTGGCGCTACTCTCCTTGGAGTGCTCTTGTAGGTATGTCTTAGATCTGTGGTCTGAGGCATGTTAGGAGCCTAGAATAATTTCCCAAGGGGAAGAACTGAAAGTCCCCACGAGAGAACAGAGCTTGCCCATCTACTGAAGAACAGTCCTCCAGGGTCCTCTCCTGATCCTGCTCAGCTGCGAACTCCCTCCTCGCCCACCCCTCCTGTTCCTCTTCCTCCTCCTCCTCCTCAGCTCTCAAGGTTTAACCATCAGGTTAAACATAGTCCCCACAGGGTGAACCCAAATGAACACCCAGCGCTGTCAGGCACGGACTGTTGCATGGATAGGCTCACGGCAACCCTTCAACCTACACATAGGGCAGCCTTATCCCAAGCATGCGCATTGTAAACGCACACTTCCCAGGGGCGGACAGGGAGCCTGGATTCCCGGCTCAGCTTAGCTGGTGATCAAGGTATAACCTTAGTCCCTCCTCTCTCCAGGCCTCAGTTTTCTGGCTGTATAATGAGAGTACTGGACTTAATGAACCTGGGTTTCCTTTCAGCTGGCGTGTCCATGTTCACAAAGTTGTTCTTGGTGTCACTCAAGCAGCTGCTCCTGCCTCCCCAGCCCTGCTCACACACATGCCCATAACCACATACATGTGGTTAGAGTGGGAATGAGGAGGTGTGGGAGGGCAGCCCCTTCAGAAACTGCTGGCCCTGCTGGTGTTGCCACCCAGAGGTCCTGGACACAAAGCCCTCCATGGACCCCCTTAGGCTTGCCTGGCAACAGACAGGGACCTGTTGCCCAGACACATGCTTCTGCCTGGTGCCCCTCAGCTGACCGCAGGGAAGCTTTGGAAATACCCCACAGAAAGGAAGCCACTAGATCCCATTCTCCTCAAGTCTATCTGGGGAGAGGGGAACGCAGAGTGAGAGGGCTCATTTTCTGGCTACATTAGCTGTTAGCCGTTAGCTCCGGAGGTCTGGGCCGGGAAGTCCTGGGCAGCGCAGGGAGCGGCAGGTGAGCATCTGCTTCACCCCAGAGGCTGCTCCTGGCTTTGCCAGACCTGACCTCAGAGGATTTGGTCACATGGGGGTGTTGTATCCCTGAGACTCACAGAGACACGCAAAACACCAAGTGGGGGGTGGGGGTGAGGCCTACAGAGGGGAAGGAACTTGCTGAGGCCTCCACAGTGAAGAGGGCACCTCCAGCGCCTGGCCTCCAGAAGGTCCTCAGGCCTGAGCTCCCCTGTAGCACCAACACAAGGCAGTGCTGGGCCACTACCCCCTGCCCTTCCCCCCTTCCCTAAGGTGCGGCTAATAGGTCAACTGTCCTGGTCCAGGGATATTTTTAGCCAGCAACATTTTGCTCTGAAGGTGGCTTTCCTGTGGCTGCAGGAACAAATTGAAACAACTGGTTGGCTTAAAATGCCAGAAATTTGCTCACAGTTCTAGAGGCCAGAAGTCTGACATCAAGGTGCTGGTAGGGCCACGTTTCCTCGAAATGCTCTATGGCAGAGTCCCTCCTTGCCTCTTCCAGTTCGTGCAGGCCTCAGACATTCCTTGGCTCACAGCTGCATCACTCCCACCTCTGCCTCTGTCTTCAGGGGTCTTTTTTTCTGTCTCCTATAAAGACACTTACTGGATTCAGGCCCCACTCAGATGATCTCATCTTGAGATCCTTGATTACATCTACAATAATGGCAGATTCACAGGGTATCGGGGTTAGGAAATGGACATATCTTTTTGGGGGCCACCGTTCAACTCATAACATATACCACTGCATTACCGCGTGCCCCTACATTGTCAGCCATACTCTGTTGTTTGTTCCTGCTTTGTAGTAACAATAACAGCAACAGCAATACTAACAGATAACATTAATTGAGTGCTTACTACGTGCCAGGCACCATGATAAGCCCTTAACATATTAACTCATTTAATTGTCACCACAACCATGTGAGGTGGTTCCTATTCTCTCCAAACTACAGTTGAGGAGATGAGAGTCAGAGAGGAACATGTTGATCACAGGTGAATAGAGAACCAACTCCTGGGATCCCAGAGTTCAGAGTGGACAGAGACAAAGGTAAGAGACAGGGGACCTGCCCCTGGGTTTGGAGAGCAGGAGGACCAAGGAAGATGGTGGAGGAACTCAGGCCAGCACCACTCCACCCCTTTCAGCTGTGTCACCCCAGGCTGGAGCCATGCGTCACACACCATGAGGACACTGGGGCTACAACTGACACATGTTCCTGCCACGTGGTGCTAAGAATCTTGGGAGAGAGAGATGGAAACCAAACAGTTGCATAAATTAATGTAAAATTGCAAATGGAATGCAGAGCACAAGGTTGTCTGTAAAAACTCAGGCCAAGGAAGAGCTTCCTGAGACAGAAACGTCCAAGCTCAGAAGTAACCAGGCAGGAGAGGAAGGGAGGAGTGTTTTGGGCAAAGACTTTGCATCTGCAAAGACTGTGTGGCCAGAGGAGGCATGAAGAGTTTGAGGAGTTGAAAGAAGGCCTGAGTGGCTGCAACTCAAAAGAGGCTTCCTAGGTGGTGAGGAGGTGAGGGGTGGAGCCAACCATGTCAGGCTCTGAGTGTCCAAGAGTGGTAAGAAGCCAGATTTTAGAGGAAAAAACAGGTCCCTGGGGAGACAGAAAATGCTTTCTATTCCTCCTGGACACAAAGAAACAAAGCACAAGTTACATCCTTAGCAGGTGCTCACTTCTCTGGTCCTGGATGGGACACGCTGCTCCACTGCGAAGAGCTCAATCTGGCCCTGCCTGTGCAGCACAATGGGGCAAAGCAAGGCTTAAGCCCGGGAAAGGCTGGGATGGGCTCCTTAGGCTAAATCACAGGTGCTTTATTTGTTTGTTTGTTTGTTTGTTTTTTTAGCCATTCTTTTTATTATTATTATTATACTTTAAGTTCTAGGGTCCAGGTGCACAACGTGCAGGTTTGTTACATATGTATACATGCACCATGTTGGTGTGCTTCATCCATTAACTCATCATTTACATTAGGTATATCTCCTAATGCTATCCCTCCCTGCCCTCCCCACCCCACAACAGGCCCTGGTATGTGATGTTCCCCTTCCTGTGTCCAGGTGTTCTCATTGTTCAATTCCCACCTATGAGTGACAACATGTGGTGTTTGGTTTTTTTTGTCCTTGCAATAGTTTGCTGAGAATGATGGTTTCCAGCTTCATCCATGTCCCTACAAAGGACATGAAGTCATCCTTTTTTATGGCTGCATAGTATTCCATGCTGTATATGTGCCATATTTTCTTAATCCAGTCTATCATTGATGGATATTTGGGTTGGTTCCAAGTCTTTGCTATTGTGAATAGTGCTGCAATAAACATATGTATGCATGTGTCTTTATAGCAGCATGATTTATAATCCTTTGGGTACATACCCAGTAATGGGATGGCTGGGTCAAATTGTATTTCTAGTTCTAGATCCTTGAGGAATCACCACACTGGAAACTACTTCAAATTTCATATGGAACCAAAAAAGAGCCCACATTGCCAAGTCAATCCTAAGCCAAAAAAACAAAGCTGGAGGCATCACGCTACCTGACTTCAAACTATACTACAAGGCTACAGTAACCAAAACAGCATGGTACTGGTACCAAAACAGAGATATAGACCAATGGAACAGAACAGAGCCCTCAGAAATAATCTATAACCATCTACAATCTACACACATCTACAACCATCTGATCTTTGACAAACCTGACAAAAACAAGAAATGGGGAAAGGATTCCCTATTTAATAAATGGTGCTGGGAAAACTGGCTAGCCATATGGAGAAAGCTGAAACTGGATCCCTTCCTTACACCTTATACAAAAATTAATTCAAGATGGATTAAAGACTTAAATGTTAGACCTAAAACCATAAAAATCCTAGAAGAAAACCTAGGCAATACCATTCAGAACATAGGCATGGGCAAGGACTTCATGACTAAAACACCAAAAGCGATGGTAACAAAAGCCAAAATTGACAAATGGGATCTAATTAAACGAAAGAGCTTCTGCACAGCAAAAGAAACTACCGTCAGAGTGAAGAGGCAACCTACAAAATGGGAGAAAATTTTTGCAATCTACTCATCTGACAAAGGGCTAATATCCAGAATCTACAAAGAACTCAAACAAATTTACAAGAAAAAAACAAACAACCTCATCAACAAGTGGGCGAAGGATATGAACAGACACTTCTCAAAAGAAGACATTTATGCAGCCAACAGACACATGAAAACATGCTCATCATCACTGGCCATCAGAGAGGTGCTTTGTTTTTTAACACTTGCCTGAAGGACTTAGGTGACTGATGGGTGAGCAAGAGGAAAGTTGTTTGGATTCATGGGTGAACTTTTAGGCAATTTCCATATTCCATGTATGAGTGCCACTGCAATGCATATTGATGCATTCATTTTGCACATTGGATTATTTCTTCAGGATCCATTTCTAGAAATAAAATTTCTGGTGGAAACACATGGGACATTTTTAGGGCTGTAGCCCTACAGAACAGTTGTTCCAATTTACAGCCCCAGCAGTGGATGAGTGTCTGTTTACTTAAACTCTCCCCTGTCCAGCTGTCATTATTACCGTATCTTTCTGATCTCTGCCGATTCAGCAGGCAAAAAGAGGTATCTTGTGGTTTTAGTTGCATTTCTTATTCTTCTCCTCCTCCCTCCTCCCCCTTCACCTTCCTCCTCCCTCCTCCTGTGGTTTTAGTTGCATTTCCTCCTCCTCCTTCCTCCTCCTCCTCTTTGCTTCCTCCTCCTCCTTCTTCCTCCTCCTGTGGTTTTAGTTGGATTTCCTTCCCCTCCGTCCTCCCTACTCCTCCTCCTTCCTCATGTGGTTTTAATTGCATTTCCTCCTGTTGCATTTTCTCCTTCTCCTCTTCCTTCCCCCCTCCGCTTCTCCCCTCCCCTTCTCCCCCCACTTCTCCCCCCCTTACCCTCCTCCTCCTCTTATTGTTTTAGTTGCATCTCCTCCTCTTCCTCCCCCTCCTTTTTCCTCCTCCTCCTCCTCATCTTCCTTCTTCTCCTCCTCCTCTTCCTTCTCCTCCTCCTCCTCCTCTTTTCCCTCTTCTCCTTCTCCCTCTCCCTCTCCCCCTCCCCCTCCCCCTCCCCCTCCCCCCTCCCCCTCCCCCTCCCCCTCCCCCTCCCCCTCCCCCTCCTTCTTCTTCTTCTTCTTCTTCTTCTTCTTCTTCTTCTTCTTCTTCTTCTTCTTCTTCTTCTTCTTCTTCTTCTTCTTCTTCTTCTTCTTCTTCTCTTTCTTTTTAAGACAGGGTCTCGCTCTGTCACCCAGGCTGGAGTACAGTGGTGCATTCTCGGCTCACTGTAGCCTGGACTCAAGCCATCCTCCTTCCTCAGCCTCTGGAGTAGCTGGGACTAGAGGTGTGCAACACCAAGCCCAGCTAATTAATTTTTTTTGGAGGGCTGGGCACAGTGGCTTACACCTGTAATCCCAACACTTTGGGAGGCCAAGGGGGCGGTGGGTGGCTTGCTTGATTCCAGGAGTTCAAGACCAGCATGGGCAATAGAGCAAAACTCCATTTCTACTAAAAATACAAAAATTAGCTTGGCATGATGGCATGCATCTGTAGTCCCAGATATTTGGGAGGCTGAGGCAGGAGGATCACTTGAGCCTGGGAGGCAAAGGTTGCAGTGAGCCGTGATTGTGCCACTGCACTCCAGCCTGGGTGACAAAGTGAGACTCTGTCTCAAAAAAAAAAAAAAAAAAAAAAAAAAGGGATATGGCTGATACACACAGAATGATCTACTCTCCTAAGATCTTGTACCCCAAGAATTTTATGACTTCTTGGATGGTATCAATTGTGTTTTATGATGTATTTATTCATTTACTCGATAAGTTTTGATCGAGTGCTGCTCTGTACCAAGATGTGTGTCAAGAAATGGGGATACACTGTTGTGCGAGAGGAAGTCCTCATGTGCCAGGAGCTTACAGTAGACAGGGGAAGACACACAAACCCATTATGAAGAAATACGGTAAATGCGACGGGAATGGAAGCAGAGGGTGCTCTGGAGTACCCAGGAGAGTTATGCCTCCCAGCCTTGTACTGTCAGGGATAGTTTCCCAAAAGAAAGGACATCTAACCTGAGAGCTGAAGAATAAATACTAGTTAGCCAAGTTAAGGAAGATGGGTAGGTGGGAGGGAGTAAGTTTAAGTTTTAAGGCATTCTAGGTAGAGAGAAAAGCAATTTGGGCAAATCCAGTAGGGGATAAAAATCATTTGGGAAACTGAAAGTCAGTCTCTTGAGTTGATTGCAAGAGGAGAGGGTCAGAAAAGTTAGAAGAAGAAAAACAGGGATCGGATCACAAAAAGCCTTGTAAGTAAGATTAAGGGTAGGGTTATTATTATGAGGTCAATACAAAGCCATTAGATCTTTTGAGTAGGTGGTATGCAGTGTAATTGCATTTGCATTTTTAAAAGATTACCTTGTCTATATGGTAAGAATAAACTGGAGGTGGATAAGAGCAGAGGCAGCTCCCTTAGGAGGTTGTTGCTGTGGCCCAGGCCAGAGATGATGAGTTGGACTTGAGACTGGGGCTGGAGAGAAGCGGGCAGTGTAGAACATATGGCTAAAGCAGGCAACCTGAAAACATCCAGGAAATTATTGTCGTTATAGGACGGCCCGGCAAAATGCAAATTGTTCTGTCCTCGTTTGATCTCAGCTGGACTGTGAACTCGGGGGACAGGGACTATTTTGTATTCATCCCTGTTTCCAGCACTACGGAAGTGCTCAGGAAATGAAAGTTCTTCCTAAGTGAGTCTCAGTGACATGGTGTTTTGATTGAGTGGTAACCCTCACGCCTTTGCTGACCCACCTTTATTAGGGAAGTTCGGTAGTGATGGTTAAGTCGATATGGAGCGCTACTGCAGCAGGGACATTAAGGTGCAGAAGCTTTACCCAGTTCACAGTGCACACTCAAACACCCAGGCTGGTTTTTCCTGACTCAGTTCTCTTCTGCCATCTGCTGGGACAGCCTTTCATAGCACATCAAAGCAAGATCACCAAGGAAGACAAGTCTAAAAACTACGGGAGCCACAGTGGACAATGCCTTGGATAAGCTTATAACTTAGTTGGAGAAGCAAGTGTCACATCCATACCACTGTCCATTTGAAGCTAATCTTCAGTGTTTATTTCCCAAAGACAAAATGTCTTTTTTCTTTTTTTTTTTTTTGAGATAAGGTCTGGCTCTGTCACCCAGGCTCCAGGCTGGAGTGTAGTGGCACAAACACGGCTCAGTGTAGCCTTGGCCTCCTGGGCTCAAGAGAGCCTCCCACCTCGGCTCCCCAAAGTGTTGAGATTACAGGCGCGAGCCACTATTCCTGGCCTATGCAGACTACCTTAAATATCTGTATTCTCCTATCAACCTTATGATAGCCATAGATTGTAACAATTTCTAAGCAAGAAAACAGAAACACAGAGATTTAAATAAAAAGCCAACTTTGAACAATAAGTAAGTGGCCGAGCCAGGACTGAAGCTTCCTTGACTCCTAGTTCCACACTTTTCTCACAACGTCTTAACATCTGAAACACAACAAGAGACAGTTCCAACAGGCGGAGACTGGCTGCTGATCCGCAGCAGAGACAGGGTGGGCCTAGTGTGAAGGCTGACAAGGCCAGTGGCTCCCTGATGTACAGAGATGCAGAATGTTGGCATGGGGTGGGGTGGGGTGCGGTGGGGTGGGGTGGGGTGGGGTGTGGGAGAGGAACAGAAACAATTCTCCACATTCCATGTTCCCCAAAGATGTGTCAAGGGGATGTTTCTGAGGGATTTTTTTTTAAGTATATGAAAACTAATAGAACTTGAACCTTTGGTGGATGTTGTCAAACAAAATAGACCCTACTATTTTTGTTAATGAGTCTGGTTAAGACTAAGAAACTATTGCACCATCCTTTTCTCTTTCTACCTCTCTCTCTTTTTTTTTTTTTTTTTTTTGAGACAGGGTCTCACTCTGTCACCCAGGCTGGAGTGCAGTGGTGAGATCACAGCTCTGGCTGATTATTTTTTATTTTTGTAGAGACGAGGTCTCACTATGTTGCCCGAGGAATCCTCCTGCCTTGGCCTCCCAAAGCACTGGGATTATAGGTGTGAGCCACCGCACCTAGCCAATTTTTCTCATTTAAACTTAAGTTATTTTGATATGAATACCCAAATATAGTCTTGGTGTTAAAAAATCAAACATTCAGGTAATGCTAAACTTTTCCTTTACTGCAAGTTCCAAGCCTTTTCTCAATGAAAACCACAGTCAGGAGTATGCTTCCAGATCTTCTAGGAAATATGAGTGTTCCTATGGGAGCATAGAGTCTTGTTTAGTGTTTTATCTCCCTTACATGAATGGGATCTTGCTGTACTGTCCTGCCTCTCCCTCTGAGCGGCCCACACTCCCCTGACTCAGTGGGAGGTACGCTTTGACTTGTCCAGGGCCGCTCCTGGGAAGTTCCACGTTATCCCCTGAGAACAGACGTCCTCAGTGCCCTCCTGCTCCCATGCCATGCCCCCCAGCTGCCAGGTCCCCACAGCTCTGGCCCAGCTTCTTCATAGCTTGCTTCTACCCGCGCCTGCCGCTTTTTAAAATATTGTGGCAGGATAAATATAACAAAAAATTTGCCATTTTAACTATTTTAAAGTGTACAGTTCAGTAGTATTAAGTACATTGACATTGTTGTGCTACCATTACCATTGTTCATCTCTGGAACTTTTTCATCTTCCTCAACTGAAACTCCATTCCCATTAAACGATAACTCCCCGTTCCCCTCTCCAGGCCTCTGGAAACCACCTTCTACTTTCTGTCTTATGAACTCGACTACTCTAGGTGCTTCATGTAAGTAAAATCACACAGCATTTGTCCTTTTGTGACTGGCTTATTTCACTCAGCATCATGTCTTGAAGGCTCATCCATGTGGTAGCCTGTGCCAGGATTTCCTTCTTTTTTCAAGTTGAATAATATTCCATTGTATGCATGTACCACATTTGGTTTATCCATTCTCCTGTTGGTGGACACTTAGTTTGCTTCCATCCTGTGGGCTATTGTGAGTAAGGCTGCCATGAACATAGGTGTACAAGTATCTCTTTGAATTCCTTCTTTCCATTCTTTGGGGTATATGCCCATAAGTGCTGCAGCAGCTTCCTGAGTACATTTCAGGCTGTGGGTGTTTTCTTCATTTGAATACCCCTTGCATTTTGGCTACTTACCATGGTTACCTACTGATGTGGTTTGGACTGAATGTTCCTGCACAAATCTCACGCCAAATAGTAATCCCCAGTGTTTGAGGCGGGGCCTGGTGGGAGGTGATTGGATCATGCAGGTGGGTTATATCCAGTTATATCAGTCCTTCTCCAGTTATATCACCATTTTTGTTCCTCAGTTGTTACCAGCTTAACCTTTCTCATTTCGTTAATTATTGACGCTATCACTTCTTTCCCCATTTTGTACCATAAATGGTTTAGCACCACCCTTTTGGTGCTGTATTGGTGATAGAGTTCTCACGAGATCTGGTGGTTTAAAAGTAAGTAGCACCCCCGTCCCCCACCCCATCTCTGTTCTTCCAGAGGCTGTTTGAAGTGCCTCTGTCTCCCTTCACCTTCCGCCACGATTGGAAGCTTCCTGAAGCCTTCCCAGAAACAGAAGCCAGTATGCTTGCTGTACAGCCTGCAGAACCACGAACCAATTAAACCTCTTTTCTTTATAAATTACCCAGACTCAGGTATTTCTTTATCACAGTGTGAGAACCGATTAATACACTCACCCACCAAGGGCACTCCTTTTTCCTTTCTAGGATAGCTATAGGCTTAAATAAATGGTTCTCCATTTCTAAAGATTTTGGGCAGGGTAAAGAGTCTGTTCTCAGACTCCTGGACTGTAAGACTCAGTTCAAATGTCCCTGTCTCTGTTGTCTTCCCTGACCAATCCCTAGTGACTGAGTGCCCGTCTCCTTTTCACTGCGGGTCCACTGTGTTCTCTTCAGGTGCAGTGTTGCTGCTTTTGTTTAGAGTCCATCTTCCTCATGAGACTGTGAACCCCTTGAGGGAGAAGATTGTGCTTTGTCTTTGATCTGCTGTATTGTACATAGTGAACAGTGTCTGTTTTCAAATTTTAAGTTAATTTAAACAACATCTTTAATGGCCGGGCGTGGTTGTTCACCCCTATAATCCCAGCACTTTGGGAGGCTGAGACAGGCAGATCACTTGAAGCCAGGACTTCAAGACCAGACTGGCCAACATGGTGAAACCCTGTCTCTACTAAAAATACAAAAATTAGCCGGGTATAGTGGTGCACGCCTGTAATCACAGCTAATCGGGATGCTGAGGTAAGGAGAATCGCTTGAACCCAGCAGGTGGAGGTTGCAGTGAGCCGAGACCGTGCCACTGCACTCCAGCCTGGGCGACAGAGTGAAACTCTGTCTAAACAAAAACAAAAACAAAAAAACACACACAAAAAAATCACCAAATTTTAATAATTATATACAGTTAAAAAAAGTCAAACAAATAAAAGGTTTATAAACCTTAACTTCCCCCTCCTAGTCTTAGTACTGCTCTTCAGAAGGAAACACCTCTGTTTCAATTTTTAGTCCTCTGACTCTGAGTGTTAATTAGCTTCTCTAAGTAGTAAAGTTGTACTACTACACCACCAACCCTGTAGGGCTTTATCTACTGGTTTCTGCTGTGGTTGATGAGAATTTAGTTCACCTGTACCACCACCCACCTTTCCTGCTCCAACTGGTTCCAAGCCTTCACCCCTCCCTAACCCCAGGCCCACTGCCATGTGACTTTGCAGCCCTGCCCACTTGTGTATCCCCAGATTTTGACTTTGGGCTTAGCCACGTGATATGCTTTAGATAATGGGATGTTCTCAGGTATGATGTAAGTAGGGGTTAGAAAAGTGCTTGTGGGCCAGGTGCGGTGGCTCATGCCTGTAATCCTAGCACTTTGGAAGGCCGAGGCAGGTGGATCACTTGAGACAAGGAGTTCAAGGCCAGCCTGGCCAACATGGTGAAACCCTGTCTCTACTAAACATATAAAAATTAGCCGGGCATGGTGGCACATGCCTGTAATCCCAGCTACTTGGGAGGCTGAGGCAGGAGAATCACCTGGACCCGAAAGGCAGAGGTTGCAGTGAGCCATGATTGCGCCGCTGCACTCCAGCCTGGGCAACTGTGTGAAAGAGTGAGACCCTGTCTCAAAAACAAAAGAGAGAGAGAAAAAAGAAAAGTGCTTGTGCAGTAGGGTCTGTTCTGTTGTACCTCTGTCATCATCTGGCTAGCCTGCTGGTCTTGGGAGGAGCATAGAAAATGTAGGGCAACACCATCCCAGTCACTTATAGACTCATATACAGAAGCAAAGCAATCTGGCCAGACCCAGCGTAGATCAGTTGAATTATAGTATGTCTGCAGATGGATGAACAATCATAAATGACTGTTGTATCAAGCCACTGAATTTTTGGGTACTTTGTGATGCAGCAGTAGCTAACCAATACATACCACAATCTACCTTCCCAGCCCCCCTCTTCCTTCTCCAGTTATATCATCATTTTTGTTCCTCAGTTGTTACCAGTTTGACCTTTCTCATTCCATTAATTATTGATGGTATCTCTTCTCTCCCCATTTTGTATCATAAGTTTATTTTCACTCCTCTTCCTTCCACCTCCACTCACCACTTTCCTGATTTCATCAGGAAATTCCAACAGCTGATTTCCATCAGGAAATTCCAACAGCTGATTTTTGTCAGCTACATCTTAGCTTTTACACAGAGACGTCTGATTTAATTAACATTTTGCTTTGTAACAGAATTTTTGGACACCTGGTGCTTTCTGAGTCCATAAGGTTTCCATGGAGGAAAATTGACAAAAGATTCTTTCAGAGAAAACCCACAATTTCCCATTAACTAGTTTAGTGTGTTTTCCTTCCTTGCAACCAAATCATCCCAGATTAGTATACCCTCAGTCCCATCAAAGCTCCTGGGGACCAAAATGTCAGCAGCAGTAAGACAGAACGGCAGGATGAGACTTATTTGCATTGAGTTATGTTGGGTTGTTAGCTGCGGTAATAAAACCCTGGGATGTTTCCTCTCTGACAACTCTTTCTATTGTCACAAACATTTGTGCTAGTAGCAGATGGATAGGTCACATCAATTTAATGTAACTACTGTACTTTACAAGGCTCTGTCTTCATTAACAAAGATCAATTAAACCAAGATCGGCATTATGCCCAGGAAATCAGTGTGACATTTAACAAGAAGGATATTCTCGATGGACACACTTTGCCATAATTTTTTTTTAACACATATAATAAAAAATTGGAGGTGAAAACGAGTAGATATTTTGTAAGGTTTAGGCTGGAGATGGTGATGTTGGAACCTGGAATTCTCAATTGGTAGGAATGCTATCCTTGGGTTTGAGGAATCTCAGATCTTTCCTGACCCCTCCACACCTACATGGGCCAGAGAGTGTAATGAGGGACCCTTCCCTTCTGCGGACATTCATTCCTTTATTTCCCCCATATTCTCTGGAATCATGAAAAGAACCTGGATTTGAGAGTAGACAGTTTTACATTTGAGCGGCCACTTTACCATGACTTTGCAAGTGGAACTTGGGCAAGTTCCTTAATGTTTCTGATCTTCAGTTTCCTCAAATAAGGAAAATAAATAAATGCCTAATAGGTTCTGCTGTGAAGAGTCAATGAGCAAAGCATCTCATATGCCTGAGTCATAGAGAGCACATAACAAAAGATAGCTCGTTTTATTCTTATTATTCATCACCTTGAGACACATATTTATCTTAATATTTAACTTAGCTCACTTTATTATCCCATACCATTTGTAGTGAGAATGTATTTTTCCCCTGCTATCCTTTCTTCTGTGATAACTCCAACGTCTCTCCTCCCTCAGGGATATTCCTTGATTCTTGGATGCTGTCTCCTCCAGCAGAGAAAACCGGAAGACAAGGGTGTCCCAGAGTTTTGGCTGTTGTTGCTTGTCCTAACACACGATGGCACTGTTGAAACAGGCAATCTTGCCATTGGGTGCCATCCTCCCGGTACAATGCCCAGGGATCTTAGGGAACCAGGCAGGCACCTGCGTGGAATATAGAGATCCGGCAGCAGCTGCTACAGCCCATCTCAGCCTTGTGGAGAGATCACTTTTATTTAAGTACGGCTTGTGATGGAAACAGACCTGCAAGCCTATTGTGTGTGCAGGAGGGATCCTCACCCTGGTGTACCCGCCCGTGTCTGAGACTCAGTCCCACTTCCTTGTTTAATTGCTCTGAGCTTTGAGTTGACACATCCAGAAGCTCCATGATAAGTGATTTCTCTCCATGCAGACAGCTACCGTCATACTCAAGTAATTCGCATTCTCCTCTCTGGCAGTATTCACGTGCAGGTTCCTGCCACAAAGACGCCCTTGTAGGGAACCAGCTCTGAATAAAGCTTGGAAAACTCACACCTCCCTGGGCACATCTCTGCCCAGATGAGTTCCTTGGACCTGCATGTTTCTGCCCACACTCATGAAACCTGGTCTGGAATTAGCTGTCAGCGCTGAAGGAATGTTGGCGTAAACATCACTCGTCCACTTTCACCTTTTAACCAAATCTCAGGACTTTAAATGCATTGAGGGTGTTTGCCATGGGAAGGAGGGGCATGAAGAGATACCCAAGATAAATGGTTTAATCGAGAAAACAAATTGGCAAACTAGATGTATAACATGATCCCATTTCCCTGTTTTTTCTTTTGCACTTCTCTATTGTCTGAATTTAATGTATTTTACAAAGTGTATGAATTAGTTTTACATATAGGAAAACATGACAAAGATTTAAAAAACCACCCTATTCTGCCAGCAAGTTGGTTGGAAATAGAGGCTTCAACTGAAAGAAAAAAGTAGGGGGATAATGTGGGGTCTTTATCAGTATTGCTTTTGGAAAAATTGAAAAATCATCAAAATTATTTTTTCTAGTGATATATGACCCAGAATCAAATTTTAAAAGATTCTTTCTTTCTTCCTTCCTTCCTTTCTTTCTCTCTCTTTCTTTTCTTTCTTTCTCTTTCTTTTTCTTTCTTTCTCTCTTTCTCTCTCCCTCCCTCCCTCCTTTCCTTCTTTCTTTCTTTCTTTCTTTCTTTCTTTCTTTCTTTCTTTCTTTCTTTCTTTCTCTTTCTTTCTTTCCTTTCTTTCTCTTCTCCTCTTCCTTCCCCTCTCCTCTCCTCCCCTCCCCTCCCCTTCTCTTCCCTATCTTTCCCTTCCCTTCCCTATCCTTCTGTTCCCTTCCCTATCCTTTCTTTTCCTTCTTTCTGCAGTCTCACTCTGTCACCCAGGCTGGATGAAGTGCAGTGGCACGATCTCGGCTCACTGCAAACTCCTCCTCTTAGGTTCAAGCAATTCTCCTACCTCAGCCTCCATAGTAGCTGGGACAAAATTATCTTTTAAATCAGCACAAAACAAAATTGATAAGGTAATATAAAAGCATATTGTGAGCTGGCCTTTGCTTCCTTAAAATGATTTCTGAAGAGATCAAAACAATTTCAAGGAACAGGCATAGTGGCTCACGCCTGTAATCCCAGCACGTTGGGAGGCTGAGGTGGGAGGATTGCTTGAGCCCAGAAGTTTGAGAACAGCCTGGGCAACACAGTGGGACCCCATCTCTACAAAAAATAAAAAAACTAGCTGGGCATGGTAGTGTGTGCCTGTAATCTCAGCTACTCAGGAGGCTGAGGCAGGAGGAGCGCTTGAAGCCTGGCATGTCGAGGCTGCAGTGAGCTGAGATTGTGCCACTGCACTCTAGCCTGAGTGACAGGCAAGACCCTGTCTCGAACAAAACAAAACAAAACAACACAAAACAAAACAAAAGAAAACACCAGTATCAAGGTCTAACAGTAACCATACACTAAGGACAACAGCAGAATCAGGCAAGAGCAAATGGTGTTTCTATGTACTTGTGGCCAAGAAAGATTTCTGTGCTTTCTTTTCATGTAGGCTTCCTTCTTCTGTTTTTACTTTTGATCAAGTGGTTTATATTTGATTATGCCTCCACAATGTAGAGCGTCTGAGCAGCATCTCTCTATTTAGTTAGAGATTAAAAACTGAAGAGATGAAGGAAATTGACATTTAATGAATATCAACTGGTACTGAGCACTGGGCCAGTGACTTTACTGCCTTTATGGCGCAGAAGCCTATGTCCAAGAGGGGTTAAGAGCAAATTCAAAGCTGTTGGCTTTTGAAGACACTTGACCCTTGGATCCTGCATCTGTGAACTTGGGAACTGCAAATATGTATACTTCTTTATGGAAGGGAAGAATTCAAATTTTTCCAAATATATATTCAAGTCTATTTTAGCTGCATATGTTTTCTGTATTAATTGGGTGATGTTAGCTGCTATAGTAGATTAACACCACTTCTCAAGGATTAACACGAACAAACATATTTCTCTCTTAGTTTCCTGGTCCATACTGATTGGCTACTCAGAGCCCAGGTGCCTTCATCCTGTGGCTCTGCCCTCTGCTAAGTTCCCAGAGTTATTTTCATTCAGCAGATGGGTCAGGGAGAGTGACTGTGTGGAAGACACGTATGTTTCTTAGTCATTTTGACCTGCAGGAGACAACAGCACAGCATCATTCCCTTGGTGAGAGCTAGTCCTGCCTAGAACTGGGGCTGGGCAGCCCCTTCCCACAACGACTGTGCACGGTGGAAGGGATCAGTTATCTTTGATGGTCAGCCAATCGTTTCTACACGGGTATACTCATGACTCAAATCAACGATTCTGGAAAAATGTAATTTTTAATGTCCTCAAAGTCACTTTCCAACTTCAGCAGTGAAAATGGCAAGAAAGAGAGGTCATTTGGAGTCCACTCAGAGAGAAGGTCGAGATTCAGATCAGGCGTTCTGGAGCTTCCTGTTTGTATTTGCACAAGCAAACTATCTCCAGACCCAGTATCTCCTCAGCAGGTTGGTCAGAGAGCAGGCAGAAGCATATCTATCTGTCAACAAATTCTTTAAAAAGGTAAAATTCCTCAATGGATTGTAGTAACGCAAATGTAATATATGTTTCCAAATATTGTTAGTGTAATTGGACACCCATTTGTGTGAGAAGTAGCTATACTTTTAATATGCTGCTGGTGGAATTTTTAATTGGTTTAGCCATTGAGAGAACACACTGGCATCATATCTTAGAGTTGAAAATGGAGGCATCCTATGACCCAGCAATTCCATCTGTACCATTGATAAGGATTTTTTTTTTCCCAATCAGCAACCCTGGATGACCAAATAATGCAAACAACTGCGTGTATGAATGACTCCGAGTGGTTTCATTTTTTTGACAAGATGATATCTTAAGAGCAGGAAAAAATCGACCAAGTTCTTATGAGAGAGAAATAAATTCTTCCAGCATGCTGCTATCAGTAGCTGAACATGCACATTGGCAGCAAGTTCTAAATGATGGAGACCATCACGCTGTTTGCCTCACGGACATTCTCTGAGCAAGTCTATTCAAAAGTCAGAATTTGATCAGGTAAAGGTATCTGTGCAAAGAAGAATCAATGCAGTACTATCTCACGTAGTCTCATGGGATGGAAAACATGAGAAGGAATCAACTTTACAGTGATATTTTAACCAGTATCTATATATTTTTATCAACAGAAGTATTGATTCAAGTAGAATGGAAATGTTGTAGAATGTATCTGTTGTAGGAAAAGTGGAGATTTGTAGGTAATATTTTGCTTCTCAGACTGGCTATTTGAGTGACATGATAGGAACACAGGGGGTCACCATCGTGGCAGATGTAGCAAATTTTGTTTTATATTGTCACTTATCTGAGAACTTTCCCTCTTCAGAAGTACAAACGTATAGAAAATAAAATAGGCTTCTGAGCAACAGAAATATGTCACAGACATTATGAGCTGAACTTATGAAGGCTTCTGTGAGATTTCCTCAAAATATCACGCCAAGCTTATTTTCTATTTATTTTCTTATGTTTTTGTCTGATAAGCCTGGCTAGCTCTTTCCTCCTTTGAGCAGCACTGTAAGATGTAGCATATTAGAAATGTGTCTGTGTGCATGAAAAAATGCTCATCATCACTGGCCATCAGAAAAATGCAAAACAAAACCACAATGAGATACCATCTCACACCAATTAGAGTGGCAATCATTAAAAAGTCAGGAAACAACAAGTGCTGGAGAGGATGTGGAGAAATAGGAACACTCTTACTCTGTTGGCGGGACTGTAAACTAGTTCAACCATTGTGGAAGACAGAGTGGTGATTCCTCAAGGATCTAGAACTAGAAATACCATTTGACCCAGCCATCCCATTACTGGGTATGTACCCAAAGGATTATAAATCATGCTGCTATAAAGACACAAGCACAGGTATGTTTATTGTGGCACTATTGACAATAGCAAAGACCTGGAACCAACCCAAATGTCCATCAATGATAGACTGGATTAAGAAAATGTGGCACATATACACCATGGAATACTATGCAGCCATAAAAAGGATGAGTTCATGTCCTTTGTAGGGACATGGATGAAACTGGAAACCATCATTCTCAGCAAACTATTGCAAGGACAAAAAACCAAACACCGCATGTTCTCACTGATAGGTGGGAATTGAACAATGAGAACGCTTCGACACAGGGTGGGGAACATCACACACCGGGGCCTGTCGTGGGGTGGGGGGGGGAGGGGGGAGGGATAGCATTAGGAGAGATATACCTAATGTAAATAACAAGTTAATGGGTGAAGCACACCAACATGGTACATGTGTATATATGTAACAAACCTGCACGTTGTGCACACGTACCCTAGAACTTAAAGTATAAAAAAAAAAAAAGAAATGTGTCTGTGTGCATTTGTGTGGGTGTGTGCTCACCTAGAACAATTGTTCTTAAATGGGGGTGATTTTGCCCCTCCACAATAGGGGACATTTGGCAACGTCCAGAGACATCTTCGATAGGCATGCCTGGGGAGGAAGGGAGAGTTACAACTCACATCTAGAAGGTAGAGGCCAGGGCTGCTGATAAATATTCTATAATGCACAGGATGAC
Source organism: Homo sapiens (assembly GCF_000001405.40). NCBI lineage: Eukaryota > Metazoa > Chordata > Mammalia > Primates > Hominidae > Homo > Homo sapiens. The sequence continues at coordinate 91,061,075 of NC_000015.10, forward strand.
CCCTACCCAACAAAGAACTATCCAGCCCAAAGGTCAACAGTGTGCCACCCTAGTAAGACACCCTAGCAGTCACAAGGACATCAGTGAAACGTACGTGGTAGCTTACAACCTAATAGTGAGGTAGGAGGGAGAAAAAGTTATAACAACAAACGTATGAATTAAAAAATTAAATTTACAAAAGCACATCAGTGTGGCACCATTGGCATGGAGGGAAAGAACTCCATGCGTGTCAATAACCCCTGAGGCTATTGCCATATCAGGGCACTGAGTAGTAATGGCTGTCTGAATAATGTTAATATATTCAGTTTCATAAAATAGATGGGAGATTTTTATTACCTGCAGCCCCATAGGGCTGAGTCTAGCAGACACTGACATCCTTGATAAACAGATACCTCTGACTTCTGCCTGGAGCTAAGGGACTGCAATCCAGTGTATTAGAGGCAGAATTTATGTGGCAAAGTACATGCATTTAGGAGTCCTAGACACCTGGGTCCAGTCCCGGCTCTGCCACTGTGTGACTTTGGGCAAATTTGAAATCTTCTGAGTCTCTATAGGGGATTATATTATCTTCCATGCTGAGTGCTATGAAGACAAAATAAAAATATTTGTTAAATGCCTGATGCATAGAAGGCACTTAATAATTAATGGCTCTTATTACTATAGTAAGTGATAAATAATTTATAAACATAATAATATAAACAACTTTAATAATAAAAACAACTTTATATTTATACAATGATAAAAATATAAACAACTTTATATTTACATAATGATAAAAATATGAACAACTTTATATTTATATAATGATAAAAATATAAACAACTATATTTATATAATGATAAAAATATAAACAACTTTATATTTATAATAAAAATATAAACAACCTCATATTCATAATAAAAATATGAACTATATTATACTTATAATATATGTAGTAATGAGCAAATGATTAATAAATAATAGTTGTTATCGATAATCTGGTGTCCTGAGGTCTAGACGTTCTGATACCTTGCCACTTGGCAGGTAAAAGGTAATTGGCACAATCCCAGTGGCCTGACCTGGGGAGGCAAGTTCCCGCCCCCATTCACAGACAGCTGTGGTGAGTTTCTGGCCTAGAATAGAGGAGGGAGAGTGCCTCTAATCCAGACAGCCTCCATGATTGAAAGGGGAGAAATAAGAAAAGCCTGAAAGTCAATTAACCTGAAGCTGAACAACGGAATGCCTGACTCCACTGTTGAACTCCCCTCACCCAGCAGCCACCTCAGTGCCGCAGAAAGACTGTCTTGCCTCTTCTCACTCCTGCTGGCCAAGAAAGCACAGGAACCTCACAGGACCTGCACATTGAACTAAATTACTTCTAGCAGAAAAAAACTCCATCAGTGAAGCACTCATGCATCCCAGACGTATTTTAAGGGCACCAGTGACGATCTCTCCTTTAACTCCTGGGCCTCTTACTGCTTCAGCTTCAGACAGAACTGGGTTAGTATCGTGGCTTTGTTGCTTCCTAACTTGGTGGCTCTGTTATCTAGGTTAAATGTCTTGTGGCTTGTCGAGAAGCAAGTTACTTGATCTCTGTAAGCCCTAGTTTTCTCATTTGTATATTAGGGATAGAAATCATATCTGTTTTTCAGTGTTATTGCTTATTATTAAATAAAAATTAAATGCATCTATTAAATAAATATTAAATATATTACTATATAACAATAATGTCTCTGAAGCACTTAGCTGAGGGCTAGCATATCCTAAGAGCTCCGTGAATGTTAAATGCTCTTTTTATTATTAAATATTATCATTACCCTTGGGATGGCTGTGGATGAAGTTCTTATTGAATATCTCCCTAATAATCTTGGACTGAAGTGGCAGTGCTCTTAAGGATAGTTCCTGTATTGGACTTACAGTAGTTCTGCATTAACTCTTAGAAGCTGAACGAGTAGGCTGGGCACGGTGGCTCATGTCTGTAATTCCAGCATTTTGGGAGGCTGAGGTGGGTGGATCACTTGAGGTCAGGAGTTTGAGATCAGCCTGGCCAACATGGCGAAAGCCCGTCTCTACGAAAAATACAAAAATTAGTTGGGCATGGTGGTGCGTGCCTATAATACCAGCTAGTCAGAAGGCAGAGGCAGGAGAATCACTTGAGCCCCGGAGGTGGAGGTTGCAGTGAGCCAAGATGGTGCCACTACCCTCCAGCCTGGGTGACAGAGCAAGACTCCATCCCCCCACCAAAAAAAAAAAGAAAGAAAAAAAAAAGAAGCTGAATAAGTAAATTTTGTTTGCAATAAGGAATGAACAAGTTCTTTTTTATTTTTAGAGATGAGGTCTCCCTGTGTTGCCCAGCATGGACTTGAATTCCTGGCCTCAAGTGATTTTCCCATCTCAGCCCCCTGAGTAGCTGGGGCTACCATGTCTAAAGCTTTTCTTTTCTTTTTTTTAAAAAATTCAAACAATATCATTTGTGCTACATTTACTGTAGGGAAACTGAACATTATAAATAAGGGGAAACTGCTGTTGAAATGAAAAATACATCATTTTTATCCTTTTATAGTTTTACATTGGTGAAAAGAATATGTCTTTGTATAACCCGAGTGTTATTTCAAATGTTCTGGCTTTCTGCCTTTTTCTTGTTCTATATTACTGTCTGTGTTAGAAGATAATAAACAGTATGTGTCCTCCCCGGATTGAATCTGTTATCCACTGTGGGAAGCTCCTGGCTTTGCTTCATGTTCAAAAACATGATTTTTGAGGAGGTTTATGCATATTAAAAGATGGGACTTACCTCAACTGGGACAACCTTTCATTTTTTGCTGCCTGAGCAGATAAAGATGAAAGAGCAGGAAAATCAGAGTTGTAGGTCATAATAATTCCAAATGATGGTTTGCTTTGGGGCTTAGGCCTGGATCATTTATTTTCTCTTTTACTGTCAGCTTGCTAAGGGATCTCATCCTGTCTGCTGGTTTTGAATGCCGTTAACTTGCTGATGGTTCTCAGATTTGTATCAGCAGCCCAGACCTCCCCCGAGAGGCCAGTCAGGTCCACCCAACTGTCTACTTGACATCTCCACTTGGCTGTCTAAGAGGTGATCCAAACTTCACACATCCAAAACCACACTCCTGATTATAGCCTCAACCTTCATCAAGCCTGCCCTCCTCCAGCTCAGTCACTAGCCTTGAAGAATTGTCCTTGTCTCTAGTTCTTGGGAGGGAATCACTACACTGTTGGGATTTCCCAAGTGATAGGAGTGTCTTTACCATTCATGGTGGGCCCCTCGGATCACATCTGAGTTTCCGCTAACGAGATGACTCAGGACAGAGGCCTACCATGACAGAACGACCAACTATGTGATTAGAGGACTGGGGCTTTGAGCTGGGTGATATCAAACTGAACGATGGAGAGGGGAAGGGAACTGGAAGTTGAGTTCAATTTTGTGGTCAATGATTCAGTCAGTCATGCCTACACAATGAAACTCCAGTAAAAACTCTGGACACCAGGGCTCAGGTGAGCTTCCCTGGTTGGTGATACATATTGATGTGCCAGGAGGGTGGCAGGTTAATGTAATGGACAGCCAAGGTTGAGAACCAGGTCAGACACCACAAGCTCTTACTGCCTCTAGGCCTTTGTTTTTCACGTCCGCTCACTTGGAATGCTATTCCCAGCTCTTGAAATTGCCAGGCCTCAGCTCAGATATCCCTTCCTCAGAACAGACTGCTCTGATGTTCCTATCTAAAGTGACCTCTCCTGTCTCCCTCTTTTTCATTACTGTATTTACTTTGTAAGACTTATTTCAGTCTGCAAATATCTCATTTATTTAGATTTACTTGTGTCTGCCTCCCCCAGTAGAATGTGAGTGCCATGAGGGTAGGGGCCTTGTGTCAGTGACTAACACTATGTGAGGCATATCTAGACCCAGTAAGTACTTTTAAAGTGTCTCTTAAACAAATAATTGAATAAATGAATAACTGAAACAACTGGCTGATTAGGTAACATTATACAAGGAAAAATGATGCTCAATGAATTTAATGAATTTTTGTCCTGTATGTAATTATCTAAATCTATCTCTGTGTGTGTTTGTGTGTATATATATATTAGACTGATGCAAAAGTAATTGCGTTTTTTGCCATTACTTTTAATGGCAAGAACTGCAATTACTTTTGTGCCAATGTAATACATACATACATACATACATGGATACATGTATATATACAAAATATGTATACAAAATATGTATCCATGTATGTATACAAAATACGTATACAAAATATGTGTGTATTATATATCCATTTTTTTTCTAGAGTAGATGGTTCTTTTAAAAATATTTGCCTGACAGTATAAAAATGTGAAGTACATGAATTCCGTGAGCCCTAAAGAGTGGAAGAACACTGTGGTTTTGGCTGACAAATTGAAGATTGCTCAAGGTGGGTCCCGGGAACAAGGGCTTCATGGAACATTCTCCTTTGTCTGACCAATTCCTGGTTATCTCTCAGGCCCCATGGTGGAGGTGCCTCTTCTCTGTGCCAAGATGTGGCAGTCACTGCCCAGGACTTGATGTGCTTGTGTATTTGTCAGTATCTATCAGAGGACTGTGCTCTCGGGGACTCTGTCCTGTCTCTACTTTCTCCCAGCACCTAGCACAATACCTGGCAGATAGCTGGAATGCACTCTGTGTACAGAATGCACTGGAGCACACTGCAGTAACAGGGGAAGTTTCAGAGACATTCAGTCTGACTCAGACCCCAGCTGCCACAGTAACTGCCCTGTCACCCTGGACAGAGCCTCGGGGACCTCTTTTGTAAAATAGGAAAAATAGTATCTGCTTCCAAGAGTCCTGGGGAAGGACAGAAGAAGACTGTACTGGGAAATGCTTTTAAAGGCTATGTTAATTACATTTTATTTTAATTTTATTGGCTTCCCCAATATTTCTTCAAAGCAGGGACCAGGCCTTCCAATTTAGCCCATTAGGACTTGTCACGGGACACTGCAGTGCCTATTATCTGCTCGCCCCTCTGTGGCTCTTTTACTCAGTAGCATTTTCCCAGGTGTCTTGATCTGTAAGTAGGGCTCTGAGCTGGTGCAGATTCTGTGAAAGTCAAGCTCTCCTATGGGTCGGTAACTCTGGAAATCTAGAGAATGGGTCAGCATCTGTGACAAGTAAACAGAAAACACATGAAGGGGCCTTTAGGCTACTTTTCTTCCTTGATCATTTAACTACAATGTGCAGAGGGAAGTTGTGGGTCTGGATCTTAAATCTGGGGAACTGACAAAGCCGTCTTCAATGGACAAATTTCAATCTGATGCTCAGTGTCATGGCACTTGCCGGAGAGGCTTCATTGCTTGATTGATGAGGGTGTTGCCAAGGATTTCTATTTTTAATCTTCAAAATTCTTAGCTTGCTTACAACTTGGGGGCTCCACGCACAAGCAGTTTCACTCTCTTCTAGGAAAATGGACCTTTTTCAAGAAAATTAATTTGTTTCTGAAGGCTCATTCTGATACACACACTCTCTTTCTCTTGCTTGTTTTCTTCTCTATTCCCTAAGCGATTTCAAGGGGGCTTGCACTAAGGTAGCCGCCCAACCTGTAAATTAGGAAATAAAGGGAATGAGGTTGTAGTCAGAAAATGGAATAGGAAAGTACATGCTGGATGGGATTAGCTATCTGTGGAATAAATCATAAGATTATTTGTGTGTAAATATTTGAGCAAAGAGTTAGAGGACACCCCAAACTCCAATCAAGTGGACAGTAGAGAATTTATTGAAACAAGTAAATGAGGTATTATATCCAAAGCACCTTGGACAATGCTGGTGCATCGCAGGTAATGAGTAAAAGGTTGTTACCAATAACACCATCTTCATTACTAAGGTTATTAGGGTACAGTTTGAAGGAGGTGGGACCACTGGATGTGACTGCAATTTTGAAAAAGAACTGTCAACATTTGTGGGAGCACTTCCCACACAGTGGGCACTGGAGTCAATGCAGGTGTATGTGTATTAACTCAACCACACTGTGAGGCACTATTCTTATGCCTATTTTACAGAATAGGAAAGTAAGCCACAGAAGCAAAATCACATAGCTAACAGTGGTGAGATGTCAATGTACCAGATCTCTCCCCAGAGCTTGTGCCCTGACTCACTGACTACGTCAGCCTCCTCCCAAGGCATAAATCCGATCAACTTTTGGTTCATTGTATTAAGAAAGACTTATGAAGACAAGGGAAATGATGAAAGAGAGCAGGTCAGAGGAAAGTGATTCATCCTGCTGAAGGTGTGGAGGCACAGCTGGAAGCTACTTTCTGCAATCAAAGGATTGTGTTGGTCAGTCTCAGCTAACATTCAGTTATAACTAATGTTGTTTTATTTTATTATTTTATTTAATTGAGACAGGGTCTTACTCTGTTGCCCAGGTTGGAGTGCAGTAGCACTATCCTGGCTCACTGCAACCTCCACCTCCTGGGTTCAATTCTCATGCCTCAGCCTCCAGAGTAGCTGGGGCTACAGGTGCATGCCAGCACGCCTGGCTAATTTTGTATTTTTTGAGAGACAGGGTTTCACCATGTTCACCAGGCTAGTCTTGAACTTTTGACGTCAAGTGATCTGCCCATCTCGGCCTCCCAAAGTGCTTGGATTACAGGCGTGAACTACTGTGCCAGGCCGAGTTGTAACTAATATTGTTTTAATGAATATTTCTATATCATTTGCATATGTTTTTGTTAATCTATAGTTACTGTATTATTTTGTTGACATAAGTCACGTGAATGCATCAATGACTCAGATAGTTTTGTGTGTGGCTGTGTGATATAATATATTCAGAGAGGTGGTATTATATCTTAATATAAGCTATAAACTTATATTTACACGTTTAAGAAAAACAGAAAAATGGCCAGGCACTGTGGCTCATGCCTGTAATCTCAGCACTTTGGGAGGCCGAGGCGCTTAGATTACTTGAGCCAGGAGTTTGAGACCAGCCTGGTCAACATGGCGAAACACCATCTCTACTGAAAATATAAAAATTAGCCAGGTGTGGTGGTACATTCCTGTAATCCCAGCTACTTGGGAGCCTGAGACATGAGAATCGCTTGAACCTGGGAGGTGGAGGTTGCCGTGAGCTGAGGTCGTGCCACTGCACTCCAGCCTGGGTGACAGAGCGAGATTCAGTCCCCCAAAAAACAAAACAAAAGTCAGTAAAATGAGTAGTTGTGTAACGAACACCTGGGAGAACTAGAACATTGCCAGTACTTTACAGGCCCCCACATCCACTTTTCGCAGCGGCGCCCCTCTCTCTTCCTTATCTCCCTCCGTTACCGTGTTCTTAACTTTCCTATCTTTAATTCCCTTTCTTTTCATTCTAGCTTTACCACCTGCGTATGTATCACCAAATAACTTATTGTTTACTTTTACCTTTTTTTTGCTTTCTATAAATGAAATCACATATGTTTTCCCGTGACTTGCTTCTTTTGTTCAATATGTTTTTGAGATTCACCCATGTTGCTGTACTTAGCTCTGATTCATTTATTTTCACTGCTGAACATGTTCATACAATAGAATGAACTTATGACTAGACTGCAGTTAACTCATATGTTGTCTGTGGTCATTCTAATTGGCTTGTTTCCAGTTGGTTTACTTTTACAGATCATGCTGCGTGAACACTGTTGTTCATGTCTGATAGTGCATGTGTAGATGAAAAAGTTTGCCTTCTTTTTTTTTCTGAGACAGGGTCTTGCTTTATCACCTAGGCTGGAGTGTAGTGGTGTGATCACAGCTCACTGCAGCCTTGACCTCCTGGACTCAAATGAGCCTCTGGCCTCAGCCTCCCTAGTAGTTGGGACAACAGGTGTTTGCCACCACACCTGGCTAATTTTAAAGTTTTTTTTTTTTTGTAGAGGTGGGGTCTGCCTATGTTGCCCAGGCTGCTCTCAAACTCCTGAGCTCTTGAGTGTCAAATCACAAAATGCTTTCTCACAAAGAATAATTGGCACTTAACTATATGCTTCCTAATCTTGATTTAGCATTGACAGAAATACTGCAAATTGTAAGAACAAACGGTGGCCTCTATGTGCATATTTTTTTGGCATGCCGACTGGAGAAACAGGCAGTTAGAGCAACAGCCTGCTTTTCCCCAGTGGAGGGCGTTGTTGTGGGTGGGAATGGTACACTCTTGTCTTTAAATAAGGAATGAAATTAACATACATGTTTTTCATAATGCTGCTTTTAACCTTAATTCAGGAATCTTAGTATCTTGAATGGTGTAATCTAGGGGTCTAAGCTCTCACATTAGGGACAGAATACCCCATATGCTCAGGAGACGATATCAGAATTTCTTCAGTAGGCTAAATGATGGTGCAAAGAATTTGATTTCTGGGAATTTGATAGATTACCAATAGTTAATGTTTTTTGTTTTTGTTTTTTTTCATTTGCTAGAGAAGGAAATTAAGAAAACCAAGATGTAATGCTGTTAGCCGTGGCGAATTCATATGGATCTGCAGAAAACTCAATTCTTGCCTCCTCAGAAGAAAGAATTTGACCGAGGGACATAAGGCAGAAGGAGAGACTGAGGCAAGTTTTAGAGCAGGAGTAAAAGTTTATTAAAAATCTTTAGAGCAGGAGCGAAAGAAGTGCACTTGGAAGAGGGCCAAGCGGATGCCTTGAGAGATCAAGTGTGCTGTTTGACCTTTGACTTGGGGTTTTATACACTGGCACGCTTCCAGGCTGTTGCGTCCCTCCCCTGCCCCCGCATTCTTCCCTTGGGGTGGGCTGTACGCATGCACGTGTGTTTCCTGGAGTTGTACACATGCTCCCTTGAAGCATTGTTCCCTCACCAGTAGAATGCTCTCAGAAGGTCATATACCTGTGAAACTCTGCTGGTTTGCCTCTTAGTGCCCCTGCGTGAGCCCACTCATCCAACTCCTGAGATCTTAGTTCTGGGTGTTTCTGCCTATTGGGAGACTGCCTTTCCCTGATCCCGGCTGCATCCAATTATTGTTTTGGAGAGAGAGCTCAACAACTGCCAGACTATCACCTGGTGGTCGCCTGGTGCAGGGAGGTCAGGGGGGGCTCTCCTGCCCTGCTCATGTCTGGGTCGCTACCTTCTGTAACAGTGTTGCATATTTAAAAATCCACATCTGCATCCAAGTACTGCAACAGAACACGAAACAATACTTTCTAGAGCCACAGTCAATGAAAGAGTGAGAAAGTCTGTCTTCAAAGTCGTCCCGGAACAGAAACATTTGCCCCTTGTCTTTTAGATATGATTTCTGTCAATGTAGCGTCCGACAGGGTGGAGAAAGTTGTATTCAGTAAGAAACACTTTTATTTTCCATTCGATTTCCCAAATTTGTGTAAAAGAGACACCAAACATTCACTGACGTTCCCGATGACCTGAACTCTGAGATGAAATTTTCTAATTTAGTAAAAATACAGAGGAGGAAAATAAACTTTAACAGGAGGAAGGATATAGAACCTAACCTATAGCTCAAGCTATAGAACACTAAGCCAGATACAGCAACCCTGGTGAAAGATTACAAAGGATATTTCTACAGCTGATAAAATGTCTATTAATATTAATTATTTTATTTTTATAATTTTAAAATATAATTTTAAATATTTTATCACTTATTGTCTACCAATTCTATTTTTAAAAATTTATTTTCATTTATGATTGCATTTTATAAACTTAAGGGCTACAACATGATGTTTTGATATACATAGTAAATGATTTCTACAGTTAAGCAACTTAAGATATCCATTATTTCACATCTCACATAGTTACCTTTTTTGTGTGTGTGGTAAGAGCACCCAAAATCTACTCTTTTAGCTAATCTCCAGTATACAATACGATATTATTAACTACAGTCTTCAGCCAGGCATGGTGGCTGACGCCTGTAATCCCAGCACTTTGGGAGGCTGAGCTCAGGAGTTCAAGGTCAGCCTGGGTAACATGGCAAAACCCCGTCTTTACAAAAAACGCAAAAATTAGCTGGGCGTGCTGGTGCATGCCTGTAGTCCCAGCTACCCTGGTGGCTGAGGTGGGAAGATGTCTTGAGCCAGGGAGACAGAGGTTGCAGTGAGCTGAAATCGTGCCACTGTACTCCAGCCTGGGGGACGACAGAGTGAGACCCTGTCTTCAAAAAACAAAACAAAAATAGTTTTGTTTTGTCCTCATGCTGTACTTTAGATGTCCGGATTTATTTATCCCACCTAACTACAACCTTGTACCCTTTGACCTATGTCTTCCACCCCCACCCCCACTACCTCCCACTTCTGATAACCACTTATTCTCTGTCAATTTTTACTGTCATTGATAAAATGTGATTACTCTGAACGTTAATATTTTTAATCAACATACTTAAAAATTAATACTAATTTTTATCTAATTTATTTAAAGCCAGCAGACCACATTTGTGTTGAGCAAGCACTTACCTCTCCACCCATGGAAAAATTTGAGAAACATAACCCCATCTAATCCTACACCAAGATAGGCACTGGGGAAAAAAAGATGAGCAAAACATGTTATTCCTGATAGTCAAGGTTTGGAGTTTAACTGGGAGATGAACATATACATAAATTAGCAGAATGATAAGGCAGTGTATAAATTGTAATTATACAAGGAAATTTGTATTTGACTGTGATTGCTCAATAAATTAAGTGGCAGAACTAAAGTCAGGGCAGGTTTCCTTGACTGTGGCACTGTGTCAGTGATATTTTATAATTTTAGTGTTTAATTTGGAAAATTTTAAGCATATCCAAAAAGAAGAAAATAGTATGATGAGCTACCGTTTACTTTTACACAGCAGCATCAATTATTAAATCTGTGGCCATTTTTATTTCATCTGTGTGCCAACTACTTCTTCCTGCCCCACTCCCTGGATTATTTTAAAGCAAATCCAAAACTTACTATTCCATCCGTAAATATTATCAGTATGGATCTCTAAAAGATACGTGCTGTTTAAAAAAATATAACCTACAATATCATTAAACTACTTAAGAAATTACTACTCTCTAATCTCAAATATTTGGTCAGTGTTCAAATTTCCCCAATTGTCTTATACACATGTCTGAGTGTGTGTGTGCTTATACTTGGCTTGTTGGAGTAAGGATGCAAATAAGGTTCATACACTGAATTTGATTGATTTAGCTCTTAAGTGTCTTTTAAATCTAGGTTCTCTTACCCTCTCTTTTTCTTTCTCTTGCCTGATCAATGGGAAAAACATTTATGTAGTCAAGCTTATCCATTTTTGCTTTATTGCTTCCGGATTTGGTGTAATGGTTAGAAGTAAGAGTTCCCCATTCCCAGATTGCGTAACTTCACTCATGTTTTCTTCTGTATGATTTCATATTTACATTTGAAATTTATTCTAGTGTATGGCATGAAGAATAGATCTAATTTTGCATTTTCCCGGATGACTATCCAAATTCCCAACACCATTTATAAAATGCCCATGTTTTTCCCCACAGTGCTTTAAACATTTTTCGCACTCTGTTCTTCAAGGGAGATGTTATTATGAGACTACTGGATGAATAATATTCAAACGTTATAACACATAAGGCAATCCACATGTACTGACATAGAAAAATGTCTCTCATATGAAGTAAAAGAAGGTGCAGAATAGCATGTATTATGAATCAACTTTTGTATAATAATTATTTATATCTGTACAAAAAAAATTTGGAAAGTCAGTCTTCAAATTGTCAATAATGGTTAATGGTGGTTACCTCAGATGGGGGGAATGAGGGGGTAGAGTTTTAATTTTTTTCTTTGTAAAATTTAGCATTTATTTATTTATTTATTTATTTATATTATATGCATGTATCATGTTTCATTTAAAAATTCAAATTTAAAAAAAGGTCATTAGCATATCGTGAATGTTATTCAATCAATGTTCGGTGAGTTCCACTGCATACCAGTTTGCTTGTATGCTCTGTGTCTAAGGATGTTTCCCCACCACATATTTTCAAATCACCCGCTTTCTCTGTTTCTGTTTTCTCCTTTCTGAAAAAAAGGGAGCTTCAGGATGCCCTCAGGATGGACAGTCAGGAGACCCGAGTTCTGGTTTCCACTTTCCTAGGCAGCTCTGTGAACTTGTTAGCCCAAATGCATTGCTTCTCTAACCCTCTGAGTCTGCATCTGTTAAACAAGGGCTTGGCTCAGATCCTCTCTGTCTTGTCTTGTCCATCGCTGAAATTCTGTGATCTGATATTTACATATGCTCTGCATGGTTATCTGACTAGTTCCATCCTAGCCAGGCTGGCCAGTTCCAGTAAGTCCCTGTACATCCAGACTAACTGTGAATAGTATTCATTGAGTATTTACTCTGTCCAGTTATGCCCTGCAGATCAGGAGAATGATTTATTTGATTTATATCTAGTAAGTGTCATAGTTGGCAAATAGCAGGGCATTATTTTTTGGGAATTAAAAAGGATTACATAGCTTCTTGAGTAATCAGGTTTTTTTTCTGTTGTTGTGTTTTTTTGTTTTGTTTTTGGTTTTTTTTGACAGGTTTTGCTCTGTCATCCAAGGTGGAGAGTAGTGTCATGATCATGATCAGGGCTTACTGCAGCCTCGAACTCCTGGACTCAAGTGGTCCTCCCGCCTTGGCCTCCCAAAGTGCAGGATTATAGGCATGAGCCACTCTGAAAGACCCAGGGTCTTTTTTGTTGTTGGGTATTGAAGTTATTTCCTTCAATAGTTTTTTTTTGTGTAATGCATTTTTAATATAGCTTCTTTTTCTGATTTTATGGGTACAGGGCAATTGCATTATAAATGTACTCAACGTAAGCAAAGTCAGCTAAATGTATGTGATTCCAGGGTTTAAAGATGCTTATTTTTCATACAGCATGAACTTTAAATGCAAGCTGACTACCTCATCTAGTGCTTAGCTAAAGAAACAGCTATCTGTTCCAGTGCAACAGGAATTACTGGTTGGGTTGATTAAATATGTGTCTGAGTACCATATATAGTAGACAATTAAATGAATTTGACATTGACTATACATAATTTTTCACATTACAAACTGTCATTGGAAATGAATCCTGGCATAAAATACATTTCTATTGTAATATATGTTCATAGCAGAAAATTTGAAAAAATATAGCAGAAGATAAAAGTCATCCCTCATCCCTCTATATGGAGATAATTGTAATGATTATTAAGGGTGTATGTCTCTTCAATACTTAATTCTATGCAAATATTTATGTGGTAGGATACAACTTTGAGATCCTATCCTAGGTCCTCGCCCCCTACCTCATTCCCTTGTGCTCTGTCCTGTGGCATTTCTAACAGTCCCACCCGTAGGCCCACCCCATCACTTCTTAAAGGTTCAACATTGCCTTTTGGTGCTTATATCAGAATTAAAAGCGTTGAAAGTCAAGCTCTGGGATGTGAATATTCTGAAAGTCCATGTCCTGAATAATTAAGTGCATAAAATTGAATGAGGTAAACAAGAAGGGAAGGCCAGGCGCGGTGGCTTACGCCTGTAATCCCAGCACTTTGGGAGGCCGAGGTGGGTGGATCGCTTGAGGTCAGGAGTTTGAGACCAGCCTGACCAACATGGTGAAACTCTGTCTCTACTAAAAATACAAAAAAACTTAGCCGAGTGTGGTGGCGCGTGCCTGTAGTCCCAGCTACTCATGAGGCTGAGGTGTGAGAATCACTTGAACCTTGGAGGTGGACATTGCAGAGAGCTGAGATCACGCCACTGCACTACAGCCTGGGCAACAAGAGCAAGGCTCTGTCTCAAAAACAACAACGACAACAACAACAACAACAAAACAAAAACAAGAAACCAAACGAAACCAAAACAAAACAAGAAGGAAAGTGGAGCCAGGTCCCCATCTCCTAGGGGAGATGAAGAATCTCCTTATGGGGAAAGTCATGTGGGGGGAATGGAAGGCACAGAACACTTGCCTAGAGAAAGAAATTGGTGGGTTTAAGGGGAACTATGTAGACCCACCTGAGGGGACCAGTACTGAGTTGCCTCTGACTGAGTGAGCACCATCTGTTGCTGGCAATGAGAGCCCCAGGGGAGCTGCCACAGGCCCCATTGCCCGCTTGCCCAGTGTAGGTAAGCGTTTGTATTACTGGTGCTGGGGAACTAAGTCTGCAGTTCCCTCCCTGCCACTGTGCTAGGAGTGCCCATGGAGGCCAGCCAGTGAGTCTCTGGCACATGGACCAACTGACACAAGTGTTGGCCCTCCGTTCCCTGAGATGCTGCTGCAAATTACTTTGTGTGGCCAGTGCCTCTCTTGAAAGGTCAAGTACACTTGTGAGCCCATACACTACCTGGATGGGCAGTGGTGAGGTCACAAGGAAAGAGCCAGCTTTGGTACTTTGGTGGAACTGTGTGAAATCAGCTCTCTGGAGCACACACCTCACCTTTTAGACATTCCAAATTGGGATCATACTGTATGGCCTATTTGGAGACCCTGTTTTTCCACTTTATATTCTATCATGTACTTTACCCTCATGATGAAATAGTCTCCCAGAGTGATTTTAATGGTTTCAGAATATCCCATCACGTGAAAGGTACCATGATTTACTTTAAAAATCCCCTCTTGTTGGACTTTAAAATGATTTCTAGTATTTTGCTGCTACTAATAATGCAACAATGACCTTCATTGTCCTAAATCTTTGTGACTGTCTCTGAATTAAAAAAAAAATGCTTAAAATATGGCAGGCGATCACAAGATAACCATGGTGATCATGATTGTCTGGGTTTTGGCTTAATTTTCTAGGATTATTGGCAGCTGTTGAAGCAGCTGAGGCCCCACCTGCTTTGCAGATGGGCAAGGCCTGCAGAGGCTCTGAATCGAATTAACACACTGGTTGGAGAAAGAAAGGCAAACATAGGAATATAAAATTGCCATGGAAACATGCTTCCTGGCTAAATACACATCTTGGTATCTAACCCATATCTCAGAGTCTATGATGACTTGCATATATGAAATGAGGTCCTGCTTTGAGCTCAGCATTTCAGAGGAGACTGCAGTTCCCAGGAGCCTTTGTCCTTCCTCTTCTGCCTCAGACAGGAAGTCCAGTCTGAGTTGTCCTCACACATGAACAGAAAAACCATGAAATATTAATGCCTTGTTAGTGACTCTGCTGCAAACATTTAGTAAGCATCAGTCCCTTCCTAATCAATATCCTGTAAATTATGCATAGCAGTGCCACAAAGTCACACTTACTATCCTTTGGGTTACAGTGGTGGGGGGACTAGGAGCAGATACCTGAGGAAGATGCTAATCAGAGATGGTCACAATCCCTTCTCTATATATTTACTGTAGAACAAATTCAATTGGTTCCAGAGAAAGAGAGTGTCTTATTCATCCAACAACTCAAGATTTGGAAGTATAATGTTTGAAGTAGCCCAATAGATTACTTTGATTTATCTCCCTCTTTGGCAGTAGGGAGAGGGAAATGGTAAAATTTTAACACATTTTGTCTCTGCTTACCTAGAAGGAATACATATTTATTCTAAAAAATTTGGAGAATGTAGAAAGATTAAATTTAAAATTTCCCATTTAATTTTAATATTATTTTTATTTTATTTCTGTTTTTATATTTATTTTTTGAGACAGGGTCTTGCTCTGTCACCCAGGCTGGAGTGCAGTATTATAATCTTGGCTCACTGCAGCCTTGAACTCCTGGGCTCAACTGATCCTCCCACCTTAGCTTCTTGAGTAGCTGGGACTTGAGGTGTGTGTCATCATGCCCAGCTAATTTTTGTTTTTCACAGAGATGAGGTCTTGCTATGTAGTCCAGGCTGGTCTTCAATTATTGACAATCTTCCTGCCTCAGCTTTCTGAAACACCTGAGATTATAGGTGTGAGCCACTGTGCCTGGCCTGAATAGACATTATTTTAAAGCATAGTTTTAGGTTCATAGAAAAATTGAGTGAAAAGTTCCCACATGCCCCCTCCCCCTACACATGCACAGCCTCCTCCACTATCAATATTTCACATGAGGATGGTATATTTGTTACAGTCAATGAAGTTACTGTTAAAAAACAAAATTTCAACAAATTGAGTTTAATGATTGAATTGGCTTTTATTTGTGATTCATGAATTGTGCAGCATCTCATTTATGAAATAGAAAGGCACTAGGCTAGACATGGCATGGTTTTTGCAAGGTAGGTTGAGCAGGAACAAGGAAGTAGCACAGTGCAAAAAGCAGATTGGTTAACATCAGGTTACTTCAGGCTACTTTCCTTGTATGAGTTAATGCAGAGGTAGCTTACTTATGCTGGCTAAAACTTGCCTGTTTGGGGATTTGGCTATCACATCTCTCCTGATTTCTCAGAAGGCCAGATCTTAAAAGTAAACAGCTTATGTTTTAGTTTGGTAATATGAAAACTTAGCATGAGTGACTCCCTTTCAGGTTGTCCTGCTGGGGCCTGTGCAGGATCTCCATCAATGGCCTCTTAGAAATTTTATTTAACACGGCTGGGCACGGTGGCTCATGCCTGTAATCCCAGCACTTTGGGAGGCTGAGGCGGGCGGATTGCCTGAGGTAGAGAGTTTGAGACAAGCCTGGCTATCGTGGTGAAACCCTGTCTCTACTAAAAATACAAAAATTAGCTGGGTGTGGTGGCGCATGCCTGTAGTCCCAGCTACTTGGGAGGCTGGGGCAGGAGAATTGCTGGAACCCAGGAGGTAGAGGAATTGCAGTGAGCCAGAGATTGCGCCATTGCACTCCAGCCCTGGCGACAGAGCAAGACTCCGTCTCAAAAAAAAAAAAAAAAAAACCAAGAAAAAGCAAAAAGAAATTTTATTTAATACTACGTTGATACCTAGTTATCTACCAACTCCATGGTTTTCATTAGAGTTCACTTTTGGTGTTGTACTTTCTAAGGGTTTTGAAAATGTATAATGACATGTGTCTACCACTATAATATCATAACAGAATAGTTTTGTTACCCTAAAAACTCTGTGCTTTGCCTATTCATCCTTTTACTTTTTTTTTTGAGATGGAGTCTCACTCTTGTCACCCAGCCTGGAGTGCAATGGCACGATCTCGGCTCACTGCAACCTCCGCCTCCTGGGTTCAAGTGATTCTCCTGCCTCAGCTTCCTGAATGGCTGGGATTACAGGCGCCTGCCACCACGCCTGGCTACTTTTTGTATTTTTAGTAGAGACGGGGTTTCACCATATTGGCCAGGCTGGTCTCGAACTCCTGACCTCAGGTGATCTGCCCATCTTGGCCTACTGAAGTGTTGGGATTACAGGCGTTAGCCACTGTGCTTGGCTTCATCCCTTTACTTTTAATATATATGTTTATGTTTAAAGTGAGTTTCTTGTGGGAAATATATGGTTGGCTCTTGTTTTTTGGTCCACGCTGACAATTTGTCTTTTAAGTGGTAGATTTAGGCCATTAATGTCTAAAGTGATTATTAATTTAGTTGTGTTGATATCTATCATACTTATTACTGTTTTCTATTGTTGCCTTTTTCTTTATTTCACTTTTGCCTTCCACTCTTTTTAGGCCATTTGTGGTTTTAATTGACCATTATATAAATTTTCTCAATTTTTTCTTCTTTCTTAGCATATCAAGTATACTTTTAAAACTTTTTAGTGGTTGTTCTAGATACAATTTGCAATATACAGTTACAACTAATTCAATCTACCTTCAAATAATACCATACCACTTCACAAGTAGTGCAAATACCTTATAAAAACAAATAAGCCTAATTCCTTCTTCTCACCCCTTATATCATTGCTATTATTCATTTCATATATACATAAGCACACGTAAGTGTATATGGATGCTCTTCAACTTACATTGGGGTTACAGCCTAATAAATTGAAAATATCACAAGGGAAAGATGGATTTAATATACCTAGGCTGACAAACATCATAGCTTAGCCTAGCCTATGTGCTCAGAACACTTACATTAGCCTACATATAGGCAAAATCATCTAACAGAAAGTCTGTTTTATAATAAAGTGTTGAATATCTCATATAATTTGTTAAAAACTGTACTGAAAGTGAAAAACAACGATTGGATGGGTACTAGAGGTACAGTTTCTACTGAATGTGCATTCCTTTCATACCATTGTAAAGTCAAAAAAGTTATAAGTTGAACCATCAGACATCATGGACAGTCTGTATATATTTACATGCACATGAACATACATAATCAAATATATTATTGCTATTGTTATTTTGAACAAACCATTCTCTGTTATACCAATCAGGAATAAGAAACATAAAAGTTTTTATTTTCTTTTACTTATTCCTTTTCAAATGTTCTTCCTTTCTTTATGTAGATTTGAGTTTCTGGACTTTATCAATTTTCTTCTCTCTGAAGAAGTTTTTAAAAATATTCCTTGAAAGGAAGGTCTACTGGCAATAAATTCCCTCAATGTTTGTTTGTCTAAGAAATTATTTCTCCACTTTTGAAATATACTTTCACAGGATAAAGAATTCTAGTTGAGGCTTTTTTCTCTAAACACTTTAAATATTCCACTCTATTTTCCTCTTGCCTACAATGTTTCTGAGAATTCAGATGTAATTCTTATCTTTGCTCCTCTACAGGTAAGGTATTTTTGTCCTGTATTTTTTTTCCAGAATTTTTTCTTTATTTTTGATTTTCTGTAGTTTGAAAATAATATGCTTCAGTGTAATTTTTTTGTATTTATTCTTCCTGGTGTTCTTTAAATCTCGTGGATCTGCGATTTGGTGTCTCACATTTATTTTTTGGGAAATTCTGTTATTATTGCTTTAAATATTTCTTCTGTTTTTTTCTCTATTTCTTCTTTTCCTGATATTCACAATATTTATGTTACACCTTCTGTATTTGTCTCACAGTTCTTGGATATTCTATTCTATTTTTCAGTATTTTTTCTCTTTGCTTTTTAGTTTTAGATGTTTCTATGGACATATCCTCAAGCTTGGAGATAATTTCCCCAGCCATGTCTAATCTAATGAGCCCATCCAAAGGCTTTCTTCATTTCTCTTACAGTGTTTTTTGATATATTGCATTTCTTTTTGACCTTAGAATTTTCATCTCTCTACTTACATTGCCCATCTGTTCTTGCATGTTTACTTTTTTCCACTGGAGTCCTTACCGTGTTAATTATAGTTGTTTTAAATTCATGATCTGATAATTCCGGCATCTCAGCTCTATTTCTTCAAACTGTTATTTTTCTTTCAGTATGCCTTTCACTTTTTGTTAAAAGCTAGACATTATGTACTGTAGAAAGGAACTCTGGTAAATAGACGTTTAGTGATGCGGTGATAAGGAGTAGGGGAGGGGAAACATTCTATAGTCCTATGATGAGGGGTTTTAGTGAGCTTGTGTCCCTTGACTATGCACTTCACAGGTGCCTTTAAATTCCCCCCCTCCCGCTCCACCCTGCTTTAGGTAGGACAGGATGGGTGGAAGGGACTGGAGTCAGATATATCACTTCCCCTAGGTTGGTTAGGCTCTGACAAAACCCCAATAAATTATGCTCTGGTAAAATAGTATTGCTCTCTCTCTCTCTTGCTCTCTCTCTCTCTCTCACTTTATGAGACAGAATCTCACTATATTGGACAGGTTGGCCTTGAACTCCTGGTTTCAAGCAAACTTCCCACCTTGACCTCTCAAAGTGTTTGGATTACAGGCATGAGCCACTGTGCCCAGCCAAACCTGATGAATTTTTAATTTTTTTTAAAAATAGAAATGAGGGTCTCGCTTTCTTGCCCAGGCTCAAGGAGTCCTCCTGTCTCAGCCTCCCAAGTGTGGGGATTACAGGTGTGACCCTAAAATATTAATAGTTTCTTTTGAAGGCAGACCTTGTTCAGAAGAAAATAATGCTTTGGTGTACTTCAGAGTAACCACTTTTCCTCTCTTCTCTTTCCCCTGCTGGAAACATAAGATTTTTCTTCAGTCTTCATTGTGGGAACCTGGTTGAGCTCCTGGACTTAAAACTAACGAAAGCCCCTCAATAACTACATCTCCCTGGAGTTTTGGTGTGACAGACTTGTTCATACTGAGCCTCCAGCAATTTGTCATTTATAGGTTAGGTCCCTTTCTTTTCCTTCCTTCCTTCCCTCCCTTCCTTCCTTCCTTCCTTCCTTCCTTCCTGCACTCCCTCCCTCCCTTCCTTCCTTCCCTCCCACCCTCCCTCCCTGCCTCCCTCCCTCCTTCCTTCCTTCCTTCCTTCCTTCCTTCCTTCCTTCCTTCCTTCCTTCCCTCCCTCCCTCCTTCCCTACTTCCTTCCTTCCTTCCTTCCTTTCTCTCTCTCTCTTTCTTTCTATCTTGACAGGGTTTCACTCTGTTGCCCAAGCTGGAGTGCAGTGGTGTGATCTCGGCAACCTCCACCTCCTGGGTTCAAGTGATTCTCCTGCCTCAGCCTCCTGAGTAGCTGGGACTACAGGTGCAAGCCACCATGCCCAGCTAATTTTTATATTTTTAGTAGAGACGGGTTTCACCATGTTTGCCAGGCTGGTCTTGAACTCCTGACCTCAAGTGATGCTCTCACCTCGGCCTCCCAAAGTGCTGGGATTATAGGCATGGCCACTGTGCCCGGCCAAGTCGGGTTTTTCTACCCGAGTACTGGTTCCCATGGGGTTTTCTGCTCCAGTATGTTATGATTCTCCATATCTGCCTGTTCATCTCTCCAATTTTGGGGTCAATGGTTTGCTCTGTGACCTCACTTCTCTGATTCACCTAAAAAGAGTTGTTGATTTTTCAGTTTGTTCAGGTTTTTTCTTATTGTTAGGATGAAGTGGCAACTTCCAAACATATGTCAGACTGGAATTTTTTAAGAGATATTTTTAAAAATGCCTGTAGACATCCCTAAAAGATTTAGATGCTATTAACTATTTCAGTGCATTTCCATGTGCATCTATATATGAAAGCAGATATATATTATAGTTTTTTATATGTATGTAGGACTTATTTGCATACACAGTAATATACATATATGTATACAGTGTATGCAAGTATGTCCTACATACATATAAATACAATATATGTAGTTGCTTTTTTTTTTTTTTGAGACAGAGTCTTGCTCTTTCTCCCAGGCTGGAGCGCAGTGGCAGGATCTCGGCTCACTGCAAGCTTTACCTCCTGGGTTCACGCCATTCTCCTTCCTCAGCCTCCCGAGTAGCTGGGACTACAGGTGCCTGCCACCACGCCTGGCTAATTTTTTGTATTTTTAGTAGAGACGGGGGTTTCACCATGTTAGCCAGGATGGTCTTGATCTCCTGACCTTGTGATCCACCCGCCTCAGCCTCCCAAAGTGCTGGGATTATAGGCGTGAGCCACCGCATCCGGTCTTGTAGTTGCTTTCGTAAAATTTTGATTAAGTTTGCACAGCTTTGTATTTAGATTTTTGTCTTAATTTCCATTTGTATTTTTCTATGTCATTAAATAATCTTGTTAACAGCAGTTGATATTCAAATTATCTGATATAACTAAGAGACGAAGTATAGCAGAATACTACCTGTGAAGTCAAGAGAAGTTGGTAATTAAAAAAGTGTTGATCATCTGTGAACCTTTAAGTTGACATAAAATTATTTTAGTTCAGTTAAATAATACATATTAAGTACTCCAGCCCTGTCACCTGCATTGTGGTTACAGAGATAAATAGAATGCAGACTTTGGCTTGAGGGGCATATACCTACATAAGAAAAAGACTGACAAATAGACAATAATAATAAGAGTTGGGAAGTGCTATGGGGTACATGCATGTACATGGTATACATATGGACAGAGTGTTTGGGAGATGAGAGGAGAAGCATTTTACCCAGCTTTGGTGGCTTTTTAGGTGGCAAGAGCTGGGCTGAGTTTTTAGCAATGACAAGAATTCGGCCAGATGAAGACTCGGTGTAGGAAAGGAAGAGCAGGTGTCCTAAATAGAGGTAACAACGTGTGTGGAGCTGGTGGTGTGGAACCTGAATTGATACTGGGTGGCAAATGAAGATTCAGGTGCATTGACATAGGAAAACCCAAAAGCTGTTTGATAGGAGGGACCAACCTACTTCTTAGTTATTAGATTCATTTTGGTCTCAAAGTATCGTATTTTTCTTGAATAGCAAACAGAAACTTATACATGTAGTATAGAGTCCATCACATGCCAATCTCTGGCAAAGCCAAGCCTTACTAATTGGACTGTGCTCAAGAAATCCTATTTTAGAAAAAAAGACAGAGTCAGCTTGTGTAGGCTTTGTATCAAACATAGTGAGAATTTAAAATAAGTTTTGTGACTTAAAGGGGGTAAACGTTATTTACCCGAAAAATTCACTTACTTGGCTTTATAAAAAAGAAATATAGCTTTCAATTTTTCTATTAGAAGGACTTTAAAAAAAAAGTAAATCTTGAACACAATCAAGTATGTAAAACAAAAATAAGTGTAGCACCTCTGCTTGAAGGAAGGTGTGTGTGTGTGTGTGTGTGTGTGTGTGTGTGTGTGTGTGTGTACAGAAGCATCCAGAGCTCAAACCACTCAGCATGCCCCTTTGCCTGAAGAACCTAAAATTGCAGTATGTAATTTACAAACTATTGAAGTAGATTGGAGGACTATGAGGGGTGAAAGTACTGACAGATTTAACTGAAACATCCAAACCTTGGATTTTAGACATGGCCCTCAAAGAGTTGGCAAGGGATTGTAAATTTCCCAGGGTAGTGGGACTGAATAATTTCTCAGGCATTTCTAAAAATTCTGATGATTTTATCCCATGATGTGTTTTTTTGCCTAGAGAGGAACTCAACATAATAGGAACATCTTGGTCCTCCATTCATGAAAACGTAGTAAAATAATAACAAATATAAAGTTCATTACTTTTGGAATACTTTTTGTGTATCCTACACTGTGAATGCATTTTCTATTTATTATCTTAAAAAATTTTAACTGGCCCGGTGTGGTGGCTCACGCCTGTAATACCAGCAATTTGGGAGGCCGAGGCGGGCGGATCACCTGAGGTCAGCAGTTCAAGACCAGCCTGGCCAACATGCTGAAACCCCATCTCTACTTAAAATATAAAAATTACCTGGGCATGGTGGCAGATGCCTGTAATCCCAGCTACTGGGGAGGCTGAGGCAGCAGAATCACTTGAACCTGGGAAGCAGAGGTTGCAAAGAGCCGAGATGGCACCATTGCACTCCAGCCTGGGGGGCAAGAGCGAGACTTCATCTAAAAAAAAAAATTTTAATTGTAGGCTGGGCATGGTGGCTCACACCTGTAATCCCAGCACTTTGGGAGGCCGAGGCGGGTGGATCACCTGACGTCAGGAGTTCGAGACCAGCCTGGCCAACATGGTGAAACCCCATCTCTACTAAAAAATACAAAAATTAGCTGGGCATGGTGGCAGGCGCCTGTAATCCCAGCTACTTGGGAGGCTGAGGCAGGAGAATGGCTTGAACCCGGGGGGCGGAGGTTGCAGTGAGCCGAGATTGCACCATTGCACTCCAGCCTGGGAGACAGAGCAAGACTCTGTCTCAAAAAAAAAAAAAATTAATTGTAAACTACATATGACATAAAATTTACTACACTAATTATTCTCAGGTACACAGTTCAGTGGCATTAAGCACACTCACATTGTTGTGGGACCACCATCATCTATTTCCACAGTTCTTTTGGTTTTGCAAAACTGAAACTCTGTACCCATTAAGCAATAACCTCTTTCTCCCTCCCATTAGCCCCTGGCTACCAACATTCTTCTTTTTGTCTCTGAATTCAACTACACTAGGTACCTTATATAGGTGGAATCATATAGTATTTGCCCTTTTGTGACTGACATTTCACTTTGCTTAATGTCTTTAATGTTCTTTCATGTTGTAGCCTCTGTGAGAATTTTCTTTCTTTCTAAAGCTGAGTAATATCCCATCATATGTATATATATATGTATGTGTATATATATACTATATGTATATACCATATACCACATTTTGTTTATCTCTTCCTCTGTTGATGAAAACTTGGACACTTCTACCTGTTTGTTATTGAGAATAATGCTGCTATAAATACGAATCTAAAAATATCTCAAGTCCCTTCTTCCAATTTTTTTACATACCTATAAGCATATCATGTAGATAACGGATCGTATGATAATTCTAATTGTAGTTTTTTGAGGATCCACTACACTGTTTTCCGCAGTGGCTGCACCATTTACCAAACAACAGTATACAAAGCTTCTTACCAAGTATGCATACAAGCTCCAGTTTCTCCAAATCCTTGCCAGCACTTGTTATTTTCTGTGCATATTTGTGCTTTTTTTTTTTTTAATAAGCAGCTATCCTAATAGATGTGAGGTGCTATCTCACTTTGGTTTTGATTTTCATCTCTCTAATCATTAGTGATGTGGAGCATCTTTTCATGGGCTTATTGGCATTTGTATATCTTCTTTGGAAAAATGTCTATTTAAACCCTTTGCCTGTTTTTTTTTGTTGTTGTTGTAGGAGTTCTTTATATAGTTCTTCTATTGACCCTTCATGAGATATATAGTTTGAAAATATTTTCTCTCATTTAGTGAGATGCCTGTTCACTGTGTTGATTGTGTATTTTGATGAACAGAAGCTTTTAATTTTGATGTAGAGCAATTTATCTTTATTTTGTTGCCTGTGCTTTTGGTGTTATATATACGAGGAATCATTGTGAAATTTAATATCATGAAGCGTTTTCCATTGTTTTCTCTAAGAGTTTTATAGTTTTAGCTCTTATGTTTAGATCTTTGATCTATTTTGAGTTCCTCTTTGTATACAGTAAGGTAAGGGTTGAACTTTATTCTTTTGCATGCAGACATTCAGTTTTCTCAATACCATTTATTGAAGTAATGTGACTTTCTTAGAGCCACATGGATAGTAGCAGAGATGTGGCCAGAACCCAGGTTCCCTGAATCTAGGTCTTTAGGACTTCCCCTACTGTTGTTTGTTAGTGCTCCATTGCCCCCTGTCTTCAATAACTGAGGCACCACTGTGTTCACACAGAGGTGTGATGGAGTTCACACTCTGAGTGCACCTGCATTTGAAAGGCAGAATTTGTTGTCCCCAATATTTTTGAACAAGGAGGTCATCCAGTGCTCCCTGCCCAACTGGTCATCCAGTTTTGCTTCTACTTCATCATTCCACTGAGTCTGGAAAAGAGGCAAACCCAGCCACAAAAACTTGCCTTCAGAATCACATGTTGTTTATACTTTACTTCACACACTTTTCCTTATTAAACCACAGGGTTCCTTAAGAACCAAACCTCTTCTTTCAGGAAAAGAAAATGGGCTTGTGCACTGAACTGTACAAATTAAAAAATATGAATTATGAAATGATGAATGTGAGAAGTCCAAACTTAGCTAAATTAATTTCTAAACTACATTCTATCTGCTGAGACTCTGATCACGATGCTTATTCAATTCATACCTAAATTGCCATCTATTTAATTTTCTTTGCAGGAGTTGGTACTTAGTATACGTCAGAGCAAAATACTAAAAAAAAAATCAATGAGCAAAAATATTTTAAAATCACTTTCAAATGTGTTAAACATTATAAGTTTCATGCAATGTAAACCTGTGTAACTTATGTATACTGAGTCCCATATGGTCCCATCTTTGCATGGTGGTGTATTTCAAGAAAGGTGTCTCAGAAACACAACTGAAGGTCATTAAAAGTAATTCCAATCTTTACTTGACAATTGATTAACATTAAAGTGGATTCAATTCATAACTTATATTTCTTTCAATTTCTACCTGTCTCTTTCACACTTTGCAACTGCTCCCCAATCAAATGCCCCTCTCAACACCTATCCAATGACTTTTTCTATTTCATTCTCTTCCCCATCTCCTTCTGGATCCCCCTTTTCTCTCTCAGACATTTTCCTCCTCAAAATTTTACTCATATGCATAATAAAGGGGATGGGGATGAACACCTCTTACCACCTTCTCTCTCTTTTTTTTTTTGAGACTAGGTCTCGCTCTGTCACCCAGGCTGGAGTGCAGTGGCGTGTCTCAGCTCACTGCAAATTCTGTTTCCTGGGTTCAATTAATTCCTCTACCTCAACCTCCTGAGTAGCTGGGATTACAGGCACCCACCACCGTGCCCGGCTAATTTTTGTATTTTTAGTAGAGACGGGGTTTCACCATGTTGGCCAGGCTAGTCTTGAACTCCTGACCTCAAGTAATCCACCTGCCTTGGCCTCCCAAAGTGTTGGGATTACAGGCATGAGCCACCATGCCTGGCCCACCTTCACTCTTTCCACCTGGTCCAGGCCACCATCATTTCTAGCCTGAATCGCTATGTGAGTCTCTCAGTTGGTTTCCTTGCTTCCACCCCTGCCCCTTAGAGTCTATTCCTGATACAGAAGCCAAAACGATCCATTAAAATACAAAGTCAGCATTAGCTTTCTCCCTCCCCTGGATATTTACTTGCTTACTGTCTGTTTCTCCCCACTAGACTGTAAGCTCCTTGATGGTGGGCAGTTTTATCTGGTTCCCTGCTGTATCTCCGGTGAAAACAACATTGACTGGTACATGAGAGGTACCTCAAATTTGTTGAATGGAAGGCTGAGTTGATTAATGAATTTCTTACTTGATTTTGCAGGTTATTTCTTCTGTATGAAATAACTACTATAAGAATTGACATGATTTTGGCTTCAGGTTACAAAAAAGGCAGCATGCTTTATTTTACATAAATAAAAAGCCATTTCTGAATATGAATGATGTGTTACCATTAAGGCTTCAAAACGAATGAGGACAACAAACTCTATATCTCTGACTGCCTTTCTGCTGTTACTTGCCATGCTACAATTCATACTTTTTTTCGGTCTTGCAGTCTCCTTTTATTAAAGGGGGAATTAAAAAGAAAGAGGTTGCTTCAACAATGAGGAATTGCTGCTTACATTACTGGAAGTACAGAGGTAGCCTGATTCTAGCAACTGAATGATGGCCTTGAGCTTGCAGGTGATTTTTCTTTCTTTGACATCCAGTACTACAGGGCACCTTCTGTGCCCTGCCTCATAGCCCCTCAGTCTACCTTTAATCTAGCAATTGGTGCAGGAATCAGCTCTGCCCAGGTGCATCAGCACCTTGCCTCAGCTGCACAGCGTAGTTTTCACTTTCTGCTCCAGGGCTCTTCTGCTAGCAGATGTGTCTTCTAGGAAACAAGTGGGGGACCAGCTGGACCCTTGTGCACAAGCAAACCTACAAAAATTGGTCCCAAAAAGTCCATGAGATCATGCTGAAGGAAGAACTACTCTTGGAGGCACTCTTCCTCTTCTCCTGGATGTGAAAGAGGAAGCAAATAGCCCCATAATATGGTTTGCCTGTGTCTCCACCCAAATCTCATCTTGAATTTTAGCCAAGGGGCACTGAAATTACTTACTGGAATTACTGCAATTACTGAGATGGTTAATTTTAGGTCAGTCACGAACCATTCATGAGGTTCATATCTTTTCTAAACTTTTTTAAAGTTCACAGTTGCTGAGAGAGACTGGATTGCATGCTGGGGAATCAACCACAATGTCCATTGCACTCTTCTATTCCTGATTTCTTCTTTCATCTTTCTTCAAGACACCCTTAAAACATCACCTGTTCTGTGAAGACTTCTGTGAGGCAGGCTTATCTTCTCTGTGCTTCATCTGAACTTATGTGAGGTAGTGGTTTTGAAAGTATGGGCACTGGAGCCCATTTGCCCAACTTCCTAGCTGTGTGACATTGGGAAGCTTGTTTAACCTCATTGTACATCAGTAGTTTCATAAGTAAAAAAGGTATTGACTTTATTTTCTTTATTTTTTTTTCTTTGTTTTTAGATTGGGAAAAAGGTACTTACTTTAGAGTGTTGCTGTGGAGATTAAACACGTAGAATGTATAAGTGGTTCAGAACAGTGCCTGGTGCATAGCAAGTGCTCAATGTGTCTGTTACAGGATTTCACTTCTAGTCATTTTTGTGTTTCCAGTGCCTGAAGTGAATAAAGGTCTGTTAAATGAATGAACAAGTAGTACAGAGAATACATAAATATCTGGAAGGGAGAGATTGCTATGAGGAACTGGGGGACAGAAGAGGGTGGTCTGAGCATGTTTATTGG
Organism: Homo sapiens; assembly: GCF_000001405.40. Lineage (NCBI taxonomy): Eukaryota > Metazoa > Chordata > Mammalia > Primates > Hominidae > Homo > Homo sapiens. The sequence goes on from NC_000015.10 coordinate 91,089,051, forward strand.
AGGATATGGAATCTGAGTAGAAATTTGAAGGATAAATTGGCCTTTTCCAGGGTTGAGGATCAAAAACAGTACTAGAATGAGGAAGTGTGTGTAAAGACACAGAACAGAAAATAAGCGCAGAGCATTTGAGAGAATAGAGCAATGTGGCTAGAATGGAAGGAGTGGGAATGGAAATGAGGAGGGATAAGACAGGACAGTTAAGTTGGAACCAAACTGAGGAGGAACCAAGCCTATGTGAATAGGAGAAGGATAATTTTGTGGAAAGAGGTCAGGCTTCAGAACTATACCATGATTTGGACTCTCGTCCCCATCACTTACTGGTTGTCTGGCCTTAAAATCACTTGACCACTCTAAGCTTATGTATTTTTATTTCTTTTTTTTTTTTTGAGACAGAGTCTTGCTCTGTCGCCCAGGCTGGAGTGCAGTGGCGCGATCTCGGCTCACTGCAAGCTACACCTCCTGGGTTCATGCCATTCTCCTGCCTCAGCCTCCCAAGTAGCTAGGACTACAGGCACCTGGCTAATTTTTTCTATTTTTTAGTAGAGATGGGGTTTCACCGTGTTAGCCAGGATGGCCTCGATCTCCTGGCCTTGTGATCCACCCGCCTCAGCCTCCCGAAGTGCTGGGATTACAGGCGTGAGCCACCGTGCCCGGCTGAGACTTCTATCTATGAATTCATACACAGTGAAAAATATCCTTCAAAAATAATGGTAAAATAGAGACATCTGAAGTCAAACAAAAGCTGAGAATATTAGTCCCTAGTGGACCTGCACTACAAGAAATACTAAAAGGAGCTGTGTACTAGCTGAAATAAAAGGATCTCAGAAGCACAGAACTTCAGGAAAGAATGAAGACCACCATAAATGGGACATATGCAATTCAATATAGAAGGATATTGACTTTTAACGGGTTTATAGTGTTATAAACTAAGTAAAATATATGAAAATAGTAGCACAGAAGTCAGGAAGAGACAAATGTAGTTTAATTTTTGCAAGGTTTTTGCATTGTTTGGGAAGTAATAAGAGTAATAAGGTTAACTTAAAGTTGTTAGAGTTGCACTGTAAAATCTCTAGAGTATCCAAATATTATTAAAATAGAAAAAGGGAAAGGTAAAAAGCAAATAGAGGAGATATACTGATTTAAGTTTTAAATCTTTAAATAAGAAAGAAAGGATACTAATCTACCAAAAAAAGATAAGTGAGAGAATACTTCTTGGCCCATTTTATGAGGCCAGTAAACTCTGATACAAAAATGTGATAGAGAAAGGTCGGGTTACCCACAAAGGGAAGCCCATCAGACTAACAGCTGATCTCTCGGCAGAAACTCTACAAGCCAGAAGAGAGTGGGGACCAATATTCAACATTCTTAAAGAAAAGAATTTTCAACCCAGAATTTCATATCCAGCCAAACTAAGCTTCATAAGTGAAGGAGAAATAAAATACTTTACAGACAAGCAAATGCTGAGAGATTTTGTCACCACCAGGCCTGCCCTGAAAGAGCTCCTGAAGGAAGCACTAAACATGGAAAGGAACAACCAGTACCAGCCACTGCAAAAACATGCCAAATTGTAAAGACCATCGAGGCTAGGAAGAAACTGCATCAACTAATGAGCAAAATAACCAGCTAACGTCATAATGACAGGATCAAATTCACACATAACAATATTAACTTTAAATGTAAATGGGCTAAATGCTCCAATTAAAAGACACAGACTGGCAAATTGGGTAAAGAGTCAAGACCCATCAGTGTGCTGTATTCAGGAAACCCAGCTCACGTGCAGAGACACACATAGGCTCAAAATAAAGGGATGGAGGAAGATCTACCAAGCAAATGGAAAACAAAAAAAGGCAGGGGTTGCAATCCTAGTCTCTGATAAAACAGACTTTAAACCAACAAAGATCAAAAGAGACAAAGAAGGCCATTACATAATGGTAAAGGGATCAATTCAACAAGAAGAGATAACTGTCCTAAATATATATGCACCCAATACAGGAGCACCCAGATTCATAAAGCAAGTCCTTAGTGACCTACAAAGAGACTTAGACTCCCACACAATAGTAATGGGAGACTTTAACACCCCACTGTCAACATTAGACAGATCAACGAGACAGAAAGTCAACAAGGATACCCAGGAATTGAATTCAGCTCTGCACCAAGCAGACCTAATAGACATCTACAGAACTCTCCACCCTAAATCAACAGAATATACATTCTTTTCAGCACCACACCACACCTACTCCAAAATTGACCACATAGTTGGAAGTAAAGCACTCCTCAGCAAATGTAAAAGAACAGAAAATGTAAGAAACTGTCTCTCAGACCACAGTGCAATCAAACTGGAACTCAGGATTAAGACACTCACTCAAAATTGCTCAGCTACATGGAAACTGAACAACCTGCTCCTGAATGACTACTGGGTAAATAATGAAATGAAGGCAGAAATAAAGATGTTCTTTGAAACCAACGAGAACAAATACACAACATACCAGAATCTCTGGGACACATTCAAAGCAGTGTGTAGAGGGAAATTTATAGCACTAAATGCCCACAAGAGAAAGCAGGAAAGATCTAAAATTGACACCCTAACATCACAATTAAAAGAACTAGAAAAGCAAGAGCAAACACATTCAAAAGCTAGCAGAAGGCAAGAAATAACTAAGATCAGAGCAGAACTGAAGGAAATAGAGATACAAAAAACCCTTCAAAAAATTAATGAATCCAGGAGCTGGTTTTTTGAAAAGATCAACGAAATTGATAGACCGCTAGCAAGACTAATAAAGAAGAAAAGAGAGAAGAATCAAATAGACACAATAAAAAATGATAAAGGGGATATCACCACCAATCCCACAGAAATACAAACTACCATCAGAGAATACTACAAACACCTCTACGCAAATAAACTAGAAAATCTAGAAGAAATGGATAAATTCCTCGACACATACATCCTCCCAAGGCTAAACCAGGAAGAAGTTGAATCTCGGAATAGACCAATAACAGGAGCTGAAATTGAGGCAATAATCAATAGCTTACCAACCAAAAAAAGTCCAGGACCAGATGGATTCACAGCCGAATTCTACCAGAGGTACAAAGAGGAGCTGGTACCAATCCTTCTGAAACGATTCCAATCAATAGAAAAAGTCGGAATCCTCCCTAACTCATTTTATGAGGCCAGCATCATCCTGATACCAAAGGCTGGCAGAGACACAACCAAAAAAGAGAATTTTAGACCAATATCCTTGATGAACATTGATGCAAAAATCCTCAATAAAATATTGGCAAACCGAATCCAGCAGCACATCAAAAAGCTTATCCACCATGATCGAGTGGGCTTCATCCCTGGGATGCAAGGCTGGTTCAACATACACAAATCAATAAATGTAATCCAGCATATAAACAGAACCAAAGACAAAAACCACATGATTATCTCAATAGATGCAGAAAAGGCCTTTGACAAAATTCAACAACCCTTCATGCTAAAAACTCTCAATAAATTAGGTATTGATGGGATGTATCTCAAAATAATAAGAGCTATCTATGACAAACCCACAGCCAATATCATACTGAATGGGCAAAAACTGGAAGCATTCCCTCTGAAAACCGGCACAGGGATGCCCTCTCTCACCACTCCTATTCAACATAGTGTTGGAAGTTCTGGCCAGGGCAATCAGGCATGATAAATAAATAAAGGGTATTCAATTAGGAAAAGAGAAAGTCAAATTGTCCCTGTTTGCAGATGACATGATTGTATATCTAGAAAACCCCATCGACTCAGCCCAAAATCTCCTCAAGCTGAAAAGCAACTTCAGAAAAGTCTCAGGACAGAAAATCAATGTACAAAAATCACAAGCATTCTTATACACCAACAACAGACAAACAGAGAGCCAAATCATGAGTGAACTCCCATTCACAATTGCTTCAAAGAGAATAAAATACCTAGGAATCCAACTTACAAGGGATGTGAAGGACCTCTTCAAGGAGAACTACAAACCACTGCTCAATGAAATAAAAGAGGATACAAACAAATGGAAGAACATTCCATGCTCATGGGTAGGAAGAATCAATATCGTGAAAATGGCCATACTGCCAAAGGTAATTTATAGATTCAATGCCATCCCCATCAAGCTACCAATGACTTTCTTCACAGAATTGGAAAAAACTACTTTAAAGTTCATACGGAACCAAAAAAGAGCCTGCATCACCAAGTCAATCCTAAGCCAAAAGAACAAAGCTGGAGGCATCACGCTACCTGACTTCACACTATACTACAAGGCTACAGTAACCAAAACAGCATGGTACTTGTACCAAAACAGAGATATAGACTAATGGAACATAACATAGCTCTCAGAAATAATGCCGCATATCTACAACTATCTGATCTTTGACAAACCTGACAAAAACAAGCAATGGGGAAAGGATTCCCTATTTAATAAATGGTGCTGGGAAAACTGGCTAGCCATATGTAGAAAGCTGAAATTGGATCCCTTCCTTACACCTCATACAAAAATCAATTCAAGATGGATTAAAGACTTAAATGTTAGACCTAAAACCATAAAAACCCTAGAAGAATACCTAGGCAATACCATTCAGGACACAGGCATGGGTGAGGACTTCATGTCTAAAACACCAAAAGCAATGGCAACAAAAGCCAAAATTGACAAATGGGATCTAATTAAACTAAAGAGCTTCTGCACAGCAAAAGAAACTACCATCAGAGTGAACAGGCAACCTTCAGAATGGGAGAAAATTTTTGCAATCTACTCATCTGACAAAGGGCTAATATCCAGAATCTACAGTCAACTCAAACAAATTTACATGAAAAAAACAATCCCATCAAAAATGGGCGAAGGACATGAACAGACACTTCTCAAAAGAAGACATTTATGCAGCCAAAAAACACATGAAAAAATGCTCATCATCACTGGCCATCAGAGAAATGCAAATCAAAACCACAATGAGATACCATCTCACACAAGTTAGAATGGCAATCACTAAAAAGTCAGGAAGCAACAGGTACTGGAGAGGATGTGGAGAAATAGGAACAGTTTTACACTGTTGGTGGGACTGTAAACTAGTTCAACCATTGTGGAAGTCAGTGTGGCGATTCCTCAAGGATCTAGAACTAGAAATACCATTTGACCCAGCCATCCCATTACTGGGTATATACCCAAAGGATTATAAATCATGCTGCTATAAAGACACATGTACACGTACGTTTATTGCGGCACTATTCACAATAACAAAGACTTGGAACCAACCTAAATGTCCAACAACGATAGACTGGATTAAGAAAATGTGGCACATATACACCATGGAATACTATGCAGCCATAAAAAATGATGAGTTCATGTCCTTTGTAGGGACATGGATGAAACTGGAAACCATCATTCTCAGCAAACTATCGCAAGGACAAAAAACCAAACACCGCATGTTCTCACTCATAGGTGGGAGTTGAACAATGAAAAGACATGGACACAGGAAGGGGAACATCACACACTGGGGACTGTTGTGGGGTGGGGGGAGGGGGGAGGGATAGCAGTAGGAGACATACCTAATGTTAAATGACGAGTTAATGGGTGCAGCACACCAACATGGCACAGGTATACATATGTAACAAACCTGCACATTGTGCACATGTACCCTAAAACTTGAAGTATAATAAAAAAATGTGATAGGGACACTAGAAGAAATATTACATGCTAATCTCTAATATTAAACAAAATATTATCAAATCAAATGCAATGATAATAAAAATATTACACCATGACAAAATGGGGTTTATTTGAGAAATGTAAGGTTGGTTTAACATTCAAAAGTCATTCAAGGTAATTTTCTATATTAATCAAATGAAAGAAAAAAATACATATGGTCATCTCAGTAGATGCAAAAAAATGACAAAATTTAACACCCATTTATTATATATTTCATAGCAATCTAACAGAAGAGGGAAGCTTTTAAATATAAAGATTAGAAATATCTCCCCAAAATATGCCACTTTGGCATAAGGCTTATCTTGAGCTAAAGACAATTGGGGAAAAGCAGATACAAGAAAAACTCTCTGTCCTTTCCCTATTTTCCTAAAACCAGGGCATACATATACATGAAAGTCTCCCCTCCACTCTCAACCAAGAACGCTAAAAGTAAATCACCAGATAGAAATGACTTTAGACCCTTATCAGCCTGGAGACAGCAGCAGAACATCTACATAACATGCTTAACTAGCATTTATCTACCATTAGTTTCCTGTATATTTGGCTTCCTACAATTTCCTAAATTGTAGGAGACTCAAAGTCCTTTTCTTTTGTCTTGTCACTTCTCTAAAAATTTATTATTCTTTGTTGAAGATGTTGTATAAGATGGAGTTTGAAGCTATCTCTGTGAGAATTACTTATTTTCTGGGTATCCTCCAGGCATATGTAAGATATACATGTTAATAAACTTGTTTGGTTTTCTCTTGTTAATCTGTATTTTGTTTCAGAAGCCCCAGCCAAACATTTTAGAAGGGTAGAAGGGAACTTATTTTTCCTCCCCTATACACCTATGGTTAGCATCATACTTATTAGTAAGAGTGCTTTCCCTCTGAAGTTATGACTAAGACATGCTGTTCATTATTACCACGTTTACAGTTAACATCATACATAACAGTATGAAGATGCCCCATTCCCCAAATTTGAGAGTTAGACAATGATGCCCGGTGTCATCACTTTTATGAAAGGGCCTAGCTAGAGCAATAAGGCATGAAAAAGTTTATGTAGAAGATGTAACCATTGGAAAAGAAAAAGTGAAATTGTCTTTAATCACATATATTCTGTACCTTAAAAATATCAAAGAATATATAAGCTTTTTTGTTTTGTTCTGTTTTTGTTTTTTGAGATGGAGTCTTCCTCTGTTGCCAGGCTGGAGTGTCATGGTGCGATCTCAGCTCACTGCAACCTCCACCTCCCGGGTTCAAGTGATTCTCCTGCCTCAGCCTCCTGAGTAGCTGGGACTACAGGCATGTGCTGCCACACTCAGCTAATTTTTGTATTTTTAGTAGAGACGGGGTTTCACCATGTTGGCCAGGATGGTCTCAATCTCTTGACCTTGTGATCTGCCCACCTCGGCCTCCCCAAAGTGCTGGGATTACAGGTATGAGCCACCGCGCCTGGCCTATACAAGCTGTAAAAATTAATAAGTGAATTTAGCAATTAAAAGGATATAAAATATAAGAACAATATATCGAAATAAGTTTTATTTTGATACTGATATAAGGTCAATCTAAAATTAATTGTATTTTTGTATACTAGCAATAAGATTAAAAATGAAGTTATAGTACTATTTACAATAGAATGAAAACATCAAAGATTTAAGCATGATACAACAAAACATAGGCAAGATCTATTCATTGAAATCTAGAAAGTATTTCTGAGTGACATTAAAGAAGACAAAATAAGTAGAGAGATATAAAATGTAAAATTATTGGGGGACAGTATTGCTAAGGTGTTCATTCTCACCAAATTGATCTATAGATATAAGGCAATGCCAATCAAAATCCCACCAGGGATTGTGTGCATAATTTGACAAGTTGATTCTAAAATTCTTGTGGAAAAGTTAAGGACCCGAAAGAACCAAGACAACTTGGAAGAAGAAAAAAGGTGGGCAAACATGATCAGATTTCTAGACTTATAATAAAGGTAACTAAGACAGTGTAGTGTTGGTGTAAGTATAGGTACACAGACCAGTGAAACAGAATGAAGAGTCTAGAAATAGATGCACATATAGATGGTCACTTGACTTATAACAAAGATGCTATTGCAAGCTAATTCATAAAGAATGATCTTTTCCACAGTGGTTTTGGAGCAACTGCTATCTTGAAATAAAAGTAAAATTTCAGCCTACCTTATCCCATGCACAAATAGAAAATAAACTAAAATGTAAAGGGTAAAACAAAGGCTTGTAGAAGGAAAGAAACACCAGACAATAGATGCCCAACCCTGAGACAAAGAAAGATTTGTTAAACAAAACACACAAAAGCATTTGTCTTTTAATCACAAAAGAAAAAATTAATGTTGTGTGTCATTAAAATTAAGACAATAAAAATATAAGCCCCAAACACGGAGAAGATATTAAAATTACTATATCCAACCAAGGATTTATACCTAAAACAGAGAGAGTGCCTACAGATCAATAAGAAAAAGACAGAAAACCCAATAAATTGGTCAAAAGACTTGAAACTTTACAAAAGAATATCCAAATGGCCAATAAGCATAAGAAATTGCTCAACATTAGTAATAATCAAGAAACACACATTAAAACTATATCAAAGTTTTAACTTCAATGTAATTTACACTACACACAAGAATGGCTAAAATTAAAAGCACTGATAATGCCAAGTTATGGCAAAGAAATAGAACATCTGGAATTCTCAAATATTGCAGATGGGACTAGGACTGTAAATTGGCACAACCACTTTGGAAAACTGTTTGGTAGTACTGTATCTACTAAGGCAAAGTACTGTATCTATTTACTAAGGCAAAAACAGGCATTTACCTTGTGACCCAGCAACTCTATTCCTAGTTTCATATTCAAAAGAAAAGAGCACATATGTCTATCAAATGTTCATAACAGGCTGTGTGCCATGGCTCACACCTGTAATCCTAGCACTTTGGAAGGCTGATGTGGGTGGATATCTGAGGTCAGGAGTTTGACACCAGCCTGGCCAACATTTCAAAACCCCGTCTCTACTAAAAATACAAAAATTTTCCGGACTTGGTGGCATGTGCCTGTAATCCCAGCTACTTGGGAGGCTGAGGCAGGAGAATTGTTTGAATCTGGGAGGTGGAGGTTGCAGTGAGCTGAGATCATGCCACTGCACTCCAGCCTGGGCGACAGAGCGAGACTTCTTCTCAAAACAAAACAAAACAAAAAACCAAAAAAGAACAAAAAACAAGTTCATAGCAGCTTTATTCATCACAGCTAAAATCTGGAAGCAACTCAAATGTACACTCATAGAAGAAGGGATAAATTGTGTTATATTCAGGCAATAGAATACCATACAGCAATAAGAAAAAAATGACCTACTGATATATGTAATGATATGGAAGAATCTCACAGACATTATTTTGAGTAAAAGAAGCCACACCCAAAAGAGTACATACTATATATATACTGTATGACTCCATTCATGAGTAGTTCAAGAGCAGGTGATACTAATTGCTGCTGAAAAGGGTCAGAGTGGTGGTTACACCTAGGTGGAGGGTGACTGGTATTGCCTGGGAAAGAGCATAAAGAGACCCCTTGATGCCAGGACTGTTTGCCACCTTAATCTGGATGGTGGCTGTAGCAATAGATATTAAGCAGATACGATATTCTGGGTCCCTGTCCATATGAGGCAGACAACAGAGGCGTGCGTTCCTACAGCTTACATTCTCTTATGGAAGCCGGACAACAACTTTAGTAAGGCGTTGGGTGCTGTAGTAGAGGAACTAATGGTAGCTCTGGGCACATGGAGCAGGGAGAATTCAGGTATTTCAGGAATGAGGGAAGACTTCTTTGAGGAAGAGATGGCTCAGCTGAGAATAAGGCTTTAGGCAGAGGTAAGAGGAATGGGAGGAGGAGAACATTCCAAGCAGAGGGAACAGTATGTGCAAAGACCTAGAGGTGAAAGAGTGAGGCACGTCCAAGGAATTAGAAGTTCCATATGGCCAGAGTACAGGGGAAAAGATGAGGGTGGAGGGGTGAGGCTGTGGGGGGTTAGCAAGGGTTTGCTTTCCAGCACTAAATGTGATGTGTTAGGCTGGCGCTGTAGCGCGAGCCTGCATCCCAGCTTGGGAGGCTGAGGCAGGCGGATCACTTGAGCTCAGGAGTTCCAGACCAGCCTGGAGAACAGAGTGAGACTTCTACTCTACAAAACGTTTAACAATTGGCCAGGAGTGGTGGCGCATGCCTGTAGTCCCAGCTACTTGAGAGGCTGAGGCAGGAGGATTGCTTGAGCTGCGGAGGTTGAGGCTGTGATCCAGCCACTGCACCACAGCTTGGGCAACAGAGCCAGACCCTGTCTCAAAAAAAAAAAAAAAAAAATGTTTCGGATTTTTCAAGGACACTGGGAAGCCATCACATGGTTTTAGGTAGGAAAGAGTCAAGATCAGATTTACATGTTGAGAAATGACTCCAGGAGCCTGAGAAGTTGAAGTCCTTGCGGGTGGTCCAGGTGCGAGTCGGCGGAGGCCCCAGCCAGGGAAGAGGCAGGGAGCTGGAGCGCAGGTCATTGACGGCAGCGAGAGTGGGGAGTCCAGCTGAAGACCTCATGATGGAGGATGTGCTCCATGGAGAAGAGGGGGAAGGCTCTTCCAGAACTGGCCTTCATTTTAGCCCTGTTAGGAAAGGAACGTAGCTTCGGATCCTAGAGGGGCCAGGCACCTGCAGTGTTGTGCTGTTTGAGTCCGCATCCGAATTTCCAGTGTCCTTTCCTTGCTCCTTACTTGCTCCTAGAAGGAGCCCTATGCTCCTAAAGAGTCTTTCGGTGCTGAGCCTTGGCAGTTTAGTTTGCTGAACTCTCGTCAGTGGAGTTAGTGGGTGGTGGTTTGGAAGGAGGGAGACAGAGGTGGAGGGCTTGTTTGAATGCACCAAGCCTTGCAGGCTTTCCTCCTCCCCGCGCTGGCCGGGTAGGTTCTCTTCAGTTCCTGATGAGGCAAACGAGAACAAAGCAGTCGAACAGCACCATGATCGACGATACTTTGGGGGCGGCGTGATCAGAGGATTCCCCTTCCCGGGAACTTGCGTCTAGTCCTCTGACGCATCCTAGTTCGGAGTGGGTGGAAGGGCATGTGGAGTCCACAGCGCCCCCTCGCCCTAGGCGGGGTGGAGACAGCGAGACGACGCCCATGATCAGCTGGTTACAAAACTCGAGGAATAAGAAGTTTAATATTTATTGGTCTGCAAATCCGGAGACCTTGCGGCCTCACTGGTCCTCCTTCCCTCTGAGCTATCTCCACACCCAGCCTTCGATCAGAAGGAGATTTAGAAGCAGAGCTGCCCGCAGCGAATACTTTTAATGCCCGGGCCGGGAAGAAAGCGGGTTAGGATCTGATCCCGCTGAGTAGAGGACCCAGGAGCCTCCCGCCCCGCGTGCTCTGTAGCGCGGGGGCGCGCTGCGCGCTGCGCCTGGGCGGCTGGCGGGGGCGGCGTGGGCGCGGTGATGCAGGTGTGACACCCGCCGGCGCCTGCCTCCGCCCGGATCGCCCAGCTCCGCGTTAGCCGGAGCTGCACGCGGGGCTGCCGGGGCGGACGCTGCTCTGCCTGCATCCGGAGGCGGCCGCCAGCGGATTTGCCACCCAGGTAGGGGACTGCGTTGCTCGCTGCGGTGCAACCGACCCAGCCGGGGCGCGGACCCCGCGTGCGCCAGGGCTCCCAGACTCGCCTGCCTGGGCTGAAATATACACGCTCGCACAGCTGAGTGCTGTTCATAGTAAATGGCACAAAAGATCGGAGAGTCTTGAAAAACCGGCGCAGAAAAGCAAGGACTTGCCCGCTGCCTGGAGCTGTGCGCTTCTTTGAAAGCGGCCTCCCCAAGGGCTGTTTTAAAACCCTGTTTGAACTATTAGCGCCATAAGTAGTTTTGCAACTTATAAATGTCAGGCTGCTGGCATTTATAGCTCCGTTTCCATAAGCTTCCTAGCCGCTGCTTTTAGTTTCAGTTACATTCTAGTAGATAGATTTTGTTATTGTTGTTGGCTTGTTCTTAAAGAACAGAATTCAAACGTGCTTACACCTGGTGGCTCTTGGGGTTTGTGAGTGTGTATTTCTGTATGTGCAGGGCGCCCTCCGTGGGCGTGGGAGCCGTTTCTTAGGGACACAGAAGGATTTGTTTATGGACGGGTTTTAGCGCAAGGGAAAGAAAATGACTTGTTTTGCAGGGATGGGCTAGCAAATGCGTTTAGCCAGGGAGGAGCAAGGCACCGCTGTGTCTTCGGCAGACGGGTGGTAGAAATCTCTGCTGTCCAGGGTTCAGCAGGGCTGATGAAATACACTCCTTTATCCGGAAATTACAGATGCAAATTACTCCGTTTAAGGGTAACTTAACGTTGGTGTCTTGGGCTCTGATAAGAGCAGCCCCAGTGGGGTGGGGTGGGACGCTGGGGGAATGCTTGCTGGCTTTCTAGCCCTTGGGGAGGTGAATGTGGGTGGCTTTGGGGCTCAGAGAGTGGCAGGTGAGGGGTAAGGAGGGTGCATGAGGGAGGACTGGGCACTGTAGTCGGCTCAGCGGTGGTTCTGGTCTATGCTGGTCTCCTCTGTGTTTCTGCTTCCTGCCCTTTCCAGAAGAGGTGACTTGTTCTGCTTGTTCCAGTTGGTGCAGTAGGTACAGGCTCGTTCTGCATCTTTCTTGAGTCAGCAAATACTTACTGAGCACTTAGTATTTGTCAGAGATGGGATTAGTCCTTGGGGATGCAGAGATGATGATAACAATGTCCTGGCTCCCTGAGGTTCACACCTGGTAGGGGGAGAAGCACTCGTAATCAGGAGGTGGATAAGTTCATGATGGTGTTGGAAAAGAGCAGTGAGAGCAGAGAGGAGGAGGAAATTGATAGTGGCAGTGATTAGTATAAAAATGAAGCCCTCATGGATTAGGCATGGCGTGGATTTCAGCAGGGACTGGGTCGCTCTCTTGGTTCTTCGGTCCGGGAGTGACCCACATGACTCTCCCACACCATTGCCATCACTGCCACTGGGTGGGCAGAGCTTTACAAGTCTCGGCTGGGCTGGTATTTGCAGTATGTGACTAGACCCCAGTAGACACAGGCTGACACCCAGAGAGGAGCACACACAATACAAGTCAGACTTTAATTTTTTCCTTTTTTAATGAATGCTTTTCCTGAATTCCAGGACTATGAAGGTTTTGAAGCAACACTTCACAAAGGCAGGGACTCTGGAAAATTCTGAGGGAGTTTCAGAGCAGATGAACTTCTGTCTGCTTCTCCCTGGGTCCCCGACCTATCTGTTCTTGTCCCAGCCCAGTTCAAAAGGAAAACTCTCCCTTGATTTTCCCTAAATGGGTGGAATAAGGGAAAACTAAAGCTGTTACTACCAGTCTTTTCTGGGAGATGAAAATCCAATCTCAAGGATGTTTCTTCCTGGACCAAAGCTGTGATGGGTGACGAAAAATGATAGAATGAAAAGCTCTTGTGTTATGTATTTGCCAGAGATGTGTGTTACATGCGCCTACATCATCATTAAGGTATTTGAAAAGCAGCGTGCACTACAAGAAGCATGAGCGTGGATGCTCAAACAGACCTAGGTGAGTGTCTTGGGCAAGTTACTCAGCCCCTCTTTGAGCATTAGTTTCCTGATCTGTAAAATGGAGACAGTAATAGGATTCTTATAATAATTAAAGAAAAGATACTTTAAAATATTTACTCATTGTTACCCGATCATCATATATAACTTGCCTGGCACAAAGTAGGTGCTCAAGAAATGGCAGTTCATTCATTAAGTTCCTACTATGTGTCAGCCATTGCTCTATGTGTGGAGAATACAGACAAAAACAACCAAAAAAGCCCTCTCTCAAGGAGCTTAAATTAATGAGAGAGTGTGTGTATGTGTGTGTGTGTAAGATGATGGACAAATAAATAAGTATAGAGTGTATCAGCTAATGAGACACTGTAATGGAGAAAAATAAAGCTGGCTGAGAGGACTGGGGAGTGCTGCCAGAGGGCAGGGTGGGGCTTGTTATTTATTTTTATACAGCTTGGCCAGGGAAGGCTTTTTGGTAAATGACATTTGACCAGACATCTGGGGAAGTGAGGGAGGAAGCCAGGGATTCTGGTAAATGACATTTTACCAGACATCTGGGGAAGTGAGGGAGGAAGCCAGAGGTTGCAGGCAGCACCTGCAAAACCCTGAGATAGGAGAGAGGTGTGTTCCCAAGAGACCCAGAAAGGAGGCCACGGAAGCTGCTGTTGAGTCAGACACCCGGGACAGCAGTAGGACCTGAGGTCATAGGGGCAACACGGCAGGTATTTGAGATATTGCCTCTTAGGATTCCTATTTGTCACTATGATGTATGTGCTGAGTTATTGTTTAAGGAACTGGATGAAATCCTAAACTCTGTGTTTAGAAGAAGGTTGGTTGGTAGATATAAGTACTTGTGGTCATTCAGAGCATAAACGAATGCAGGAAGCAGAAAGCATAGGTCTTTGCAAGGCAACAGGAAGCACAGGAATTAAGGACACTGTGGAACGCAACATTCAGATTTCTCCCATCCGGATGGAGGACTGTGTTTGTGCTTCTTTTGAATCTTAGTATTATGATTTTTTGTTTCCTTTCCCCCACACTAAAAGAAAAGGTCATCTTTAGCAAACAGGCCAGCAGTCCTTGCTAGATATTCTTTTTTCTTTGAGAATGAGAAGAGTTTCTATGATCATGGAAAAGTGTTGGGATCATCTGGAAATATGCTGACCTTCAGTGTACCATGAAATGCATTTACATAATATCATATGGCAAATTTATTTAAAGCCTCTATCTTATAGGCTTAACATAAAGATCAGTTTGCTGCTCTGCCCTTTGGAAACTTTATTCCTCTAGAGAAAACATGGTTTGGGCATTTGAGAGCCTCATCACTCAGCTGTCCTTGGTGCAGAAGGGCTACTGCAGTGTGTTCCATGGCCAGAAATGGGGCTGGATGCCTGAGAACCTAGTCAAAGTTTCTGTGAAATAGAATGAGGTGAGGCTGGGTCAAGGTCAGAGAGTCTGGCTGGGTGTCCCCGAGTCCACCTCAGAAGGCAACATTTACTTCTGTGAATTTCCCCCATCCAATATCTGGCTTTTAGTATTGCTGCCTCAGAAACCTGATCTGTCTTTCCGGGCCACGTCACAGTGACCTTGTTCACCTGCATGCCAGCTTATTGATTTGCAGTGGTTGAGACACTGTGTGGCTTGGCTGGTGGGTCTTCTTCCTGCAGACCCCTGTCATAACAGCCAAATCACAAGGAGAAGATCTCCTGAAGCACATTATTCAGAGCAAAGCAGCTTAGATGCGTACCCTAGGGACTGATTACATGCTTTAGGGCCAACCTTGCCAACGGGACTACAGACCAAACCACCCCTAAACTTAATGGCTTAAAACAACAGCCATTTCTTATTTTCTCACATGTCTCTTGGTTGGCTGGGTAGTTCTGCAGTTCTGAGTTGTGCTTGCTTGATTTCAGCTGTGCTTGCTCATGTGATTTTGGTCTGCTGATGGAGTGTCTGAGGGCTGGCTGCTTTAGGATGGCCTCAGCTGGATGACTTGGCTCTGCTCCATGTGGTCACTCATCCTCTGGCAGGCTAGCCTGGCATGTTCACATGGTAGTGGCAGGAGGCTAAGAGAAAGTAAAAGCTTGTATGGCCTCTTGAGGCCTAAGCTGATAACTGGCACTCCGTCACTTTATCTTTGTCTAATGACAAAATTAAGGCACAAGATAGCCCAGAGTGGAAAGTTAGGAAAACAGACTCCACTTCTTGATAGGAGGAGCTACATAGTCACATTGCAAAATGTACAGATACAGGGAGGGGAAGAATTGAGACATTTTGCAATCAATCAATCAATCAATCTACCATAGGGACCTGAATATTTATTTATTTATTTTTGAGATGGAGTTTCACTCTTGTTGCCCAGGCTGAGTGCAGTGGTGCGATCTCAGCTCACTGCAACCTCAGCCTCCCAGGTTCAAGCGATTCTTCTGCCTCAGCCTCCTGAGTAGCTGGGACTACAGGCGTGCACCACCATGCCCGGCTAATTTTGTATTTTTAGTAGAGATGGGGTTTCTCCATGTTGGTCAGGCTGGTCTCAAACTCCTGACCTCAGATGATCTGCCCGCCTCGGCCTCCCAAAGTGCTGGGATTACAGGCGTGAGCCACCGCGCCTGACTGGGACCTGAACATTTAAAGTGCTGTTGGCTAGGTTTCCTTTTCTTCCGGACTCTGCTCGAATGGGCAGAGCCTGTACTTGCTCTTGTGACTGTCTCTTTCTGTGTTTCTGTGGTTGACCATCTAGAGATGTATGTATCTTTAGATAATCATTCATTCACTAAATAAATATTTATTGAGTGGTCTCTATGTGCCAGGCATGTTATAGGAAGTAGACCCATCTCATGAAGCATTCATTCTAGTTGAGGGAGACAAATAATATGTAAGTAAATAATGTATGTTTTATATCAGGTGATTAAGGAATGTTGAGCAGGGAAAGGAAGATGGGGGGTGCCTTGTTGTGTTGGAGTGGGAGGGTAGGGTAAAACGAAGTGTGGGTATTTTATGCAAGGTGGTCAGGGTGACATGAAGGAAGTGAAGGAGTGAGCCAGACAGTTATCTGGGGAAAGACATTTCCAGGTAGGGAGAACAGGTGCAAAGGCCCCGAGGCAACAGATAACTGGCATGTTCCAGGAACAGCAAGGTGGCTTATGTAGAAGGAACTGAACGAGACAGGGTGAGCGTGGGAGAAGAGATCAGAGAAGTAGCAGGGAGCCAGCTAATAGAAGGTCCTGTAGGGCCTTGTGTAGACTTTAGCCTTTATTTTGAGGAAAATGGGACACCACTGGAGAATTCTGAGCACAGGGTGCTATTAGCTGATTTATGTTTTCCAAGGATCCCTTGAGCTTTAGAGCTTAGTGTAGACTCTTGGAGGATAAGGGTGGAAACAGGGAGATTAGTCAGGATGGTACTGCAGTGACCCAGGTGAGAGAGGGTGGTGGTTTGGACCAGGCTGGATAGTACTTAAAATGGTGAGAAGTTGTAATCCCAGCATTTTGGGAGGCCAAGGTGGGTGGATCACTTGAGCTCAGGAGTTTGAGACCAGCCTGGACAACGTGGCAAAATCCCAACTCTACAACAAATAAAAAAATTAGCCAGGTGTGGTGGCACATGCCTGTAGCCCTAGCTACTCGGGAGTCTGAGGTGGGAGGATCACCTGAGCCTGGGGAGGTCGAGGCTGCAGTGAGTCACGATAATGCCATTGTACTCCAGCCTGGACAATGGATTGAGATCATGTCAAAAATAAATAAAAATAAAAAAAGATGGTGAGAAGTGGCTAAATTCATAAAGCAGGCAGGATGTGTGGATGAGTTAGATACTTAGAGTATGAGAAAAAGATGACATAATGAATTTTGACCTAAGCAGCTGGATGGAGTAGCACTTTAGTGAGGTGGAGAGGAAACAGTGATGGGGTTTAATTGGATATCCAATGGGAGATGTTAAGTAGTTCATTGCATATGAGAGTCTAGAGTTCAGGGAAGAGTTTCAGGAAGGAGACATAGGTTTGAGTATCATTAGCATGTTATTTATTTTTCCGTGAGCCAAGTCACTGCTGTATCACTAGTGCCCAGAATATTGTCTGGCACATTGTATATCCTCAATGGATATGTACTGAATGAGTGAATGGAACCACTTACTTACTAGAGTTGACTGCAAATCTTTGCTTTGGTGGATTTTGAAGTGTAACTCCTTGAAGTTATTTCCTTTCTTTACAAGGTCTCATGGGAGCCTTATTGTGGATCTTATGCACTAAAAAGAGGCTTTAAATGTGAAGGCTCCAATCGCTTATATCATACGGAAAGCAACGTGTGGTGACAAGAAAGAAAGAGGAACAAGTGGAAACCAAAAAATAGCTCATATTTTCAAAAAATGAGAAAAGATCCTTTAGAGGGAGGTGGCTGAAATTCAGGGGTGTGATGTTCTTGGGTTATTATTGTACTGCTCTTAATTTAAGATGAGGCAGAAGCAAGGAAGAATCTTGAAAGGGGAGAATTTTATTTAAATCAATTTATGCCGAGTGTCACCAGCTTGCTTGAGAAACCCCACATCTACAGTAGCTTGCATAATGTGTTCCTGTTTATAAAAGGAAGAAATAGGGAATAGCCTTCATAGGAAAAGGGGAGGGCTGGAATGACTTCAGCCTCAGGCTGTGGGTGCTGTCCATTTTCTTCTCGTGGTGTGTCTGATTCTATATAAGTTTTGTTTGCAATGATGTTGGTGAAGGGAGTGAAACAAGAAAAAGCAGGTACTGCTGTTGAAAGTGGTTGTGTGTGTGTGTGTGTGAGGGAGAGAGAGAGAGATGGAGAATGTGCCAGTGGCGGAGAAAAAGAACCAAATCCCAGAAGGAAGTGTGAGAAAGAGATGCAAGCTGCCCTTCATTTTTACGTGTGGTTACTAGGCCTGACCACATGGGGCTAGGATGGAGCAGTGGGCTTTAGCATCAGACAGAACTGGGTTTGCACTCAGACTTCATTACTTTATTTGTTTGTTTATTTATTTATTTATTTATTTATTTATTTTTTGAGATGGAGTATCCTTCTATCACCAGGCTGGAGTGTAGTGGCACAATCTTAGCTCACTGCAACCTCTGCCTCCCGGGTTCAAGCGATTCTCCTGCCTCAGCCTCCTGAGTAGCTGGGACTACAGGCACGTGCCACCACGCCCAGCTAATTTTTGTATTTTTAGTAGAGACGGGGTTTTACCATGTTGGCCAGGATGGTCTTGATCTCTTTACCTTGTTATCTGCCCGCCTTGGCCTCCCAAAGTGCTGGGATTACAGGCGTGAGCCACCGTGCCCGCTAACTTTCTATTTTTTTTTGAGACAGGGTCTCACTCTGTCAACCAGGCTGGAGTGCAGTGGCGTGAACTCAGCTCACTGCAGCCTTGACCTCCCGGGCTCAAGTGATCTTCCCATCTCAGCCTCCAAAGTAGCTGGGAATACAGGCATGCACCACCATGCCCGGCTAATTTTTAAATTTTTTTGTAGAGGTGGGATCTTGCTATGCTGCCCAGGCTGGTCTTGAACTCATGGGCTCAAGTGATTCTTCCACCTTAGTCCCCAAAGTGGTGGGATTATAGGTGTGAGTCACCATGCCCAGCCCAAGCTTCCTTACTTTCTAGCTGTGTAAACTTGAGCACATTATTTAATTTCCCTGAGCCTGGGTTTCCTCAGTTGTAAGGTGATGATGGTGGTGTGGTGTGGTGGTGGTGATGATGATGATGATAGTAATCATACCCCAGTGTTCTGCAGTCTCCTTCATGCTCCTGGACTTGGAACTATGTTGGTGTAAATATTGATTAAAGGATTACCATACCAGCTGAAGGACTTAAAGATTTTATGTGAAGGGAGAAATGAGAATTTGATGTTCACAGTGCCATTTAGAAGATTATTTCCATGGGGCCCATAATGTTCAAAATTAGACAAAGGGACAATAATAAAATGTCTAGCCTTATGGGCTAGACATTTCAAGGTGCCTCAGAGGAAAACTAACCTCCCTTCTCTGCAATAAGCCAATCTCCTTAGTTCAGTTCTGCAGTGTCGCATAGTTTGTTGGAATTCCATAATGAAAATTTTGGAGTCATGTGTAGTATATAGATGCAGAAGCTTTCCTGTCTGATGCCTTTGTGGCTCCCACAGAATCCACTGCATGGTGTTCTTCTGGAAAGGTCTGTGGTTCTTCCTGTTCCAGGCACATAGTAGGCACACTATACGTATTTATTAGATACATGGTGAATAAATGCTGCTGTGTTTTCTCTGTTGGCTGTGGCTCTCTTGGTTGCTCCTCCCGGCCTGGGCAAGAGATCAGCAGGTAAGTGACAGTGATGAGCTAAGTCTCTGGCAGGTACTCAGCAGCTAATGTTACCCTCTCTCCACCACCCTCATGCCTTGGCTACCATTCTGACATCCCCTAGATCAAGAATCATATACTCAGCTTTCCCTTTAAGCCCCCAGTTACATCGTCAGCAAAGCCAAAGCTCCCTTGCTGTCCTGACCTTTGATTACAGGTAACGCAACAGTGTCTCCTGACTTAGCAACAAAGACCCACACCTGGGTTCCCTGCTTCAGCTCCCACACAGAAGCCTGTGGTCCCGTTAAGTCTTCCTGTTTTCTATACACACTTCTGCTCCACCCACCTCCTGTTCCCTTCAGTTGTTAGAGCTTGATTCTGTATGGGTTGGCAGGGGAGAGAGTAGCATTAATTTTCTTTTCACAAAAGGCAATTGAAAATTCTCTCCTAACGGATGACTGTCTAGCCCCTCAGAACTGAACTTCTTCAGGAGGCAGATAGGCTACATCCTTCCTCCTGTGCCCATTTTACAGATGAGATATCTGAGGCGCAGAGAAAAGAAATGACAGACAAAAGTACCCTTGGAAAAGTGGATGCACAATCTCATTTGTTTCCTGCCAGCTCTGCATAGATGCAAGAGAAGGTAATTCTTCCAGACCGCTGGGGCCTTCTTGAATCACGGATGTCTGCATCCAGAAGCTGATTGTTGAATCACAGGTGTCTGGATTTGGAAGTTGACTGTTCAAACTGGGAGCTTGGTGCTGTTAAGTACTTCTTATGTCAACCCCAGGTGATATGTGTGTGGGCAGGAGCTCTAGGCTCCCAAAACTCACCTAGGTGTGATAGGTGTGATTTACAATTCTGTTTTCATGATCATTTCATGAGAGAAACCTGCAAATGAACACTGCTAAGGAGATGGAACAGAACACGTTAATGGATAAATGAGCTGTCTATCATTACCCCTGAGTGAGCGTGATTTGTTTTAATGAATATTTCATGGGCAGGTTCCTTTTCAGGTCCAGAATATGCTCAAGTCAATGAAGACCTTAATTGAACTGTAGGATCTTACAGTTTCAGAGCTCGAAGGGACCCTAGAAAGCGGGGAATCCAAACTTCTTATTATTCAAGGAAGGAAATAATTAAAAAAATTTTTTTGGTACATGTTCTTGCCCTGTTGCCCAGGCTGGAGTGTAGTGGCACAATCTTGGTCTCACTGCAACCTCTGCCTCTTGGGCCCAAGCAATCCTCTCACCTCAGCCTCCCAAGTAGCTGGAATTATAGGCGTGTCCCACCATACCTGGCTAATTTTTTAATTTTTTGTAGAGACGAGGTCTCATTATATTGCCCAGGCTGGATTTCCCAAGCAATCCTCCAGGCTTGGCCTCCCAAAGTGCTGGGATTACAGGCATGAACCACTGCATCCACCTCGGAAATAGCTTATTTGGGTGGATAAAAGAGCTGTCCGTCATTACTCACATTACAAATCACGCTCACTCAGGAGTAATGATGGACAGCTCATTTATCCATTAACGTGTTCTGTTCCTTCTTCTTAGCAGTGTTCATTTGCATGTTTCTCTCATGAAATGACCATGAAAACAGAATTGTAATTTATAAGAAAAGAGGTTTAATTGGCTCCTGGATTCATACAGTAAGTTAATGATGGAGAGAGGGTCAAAGCTCAGGTCGGGGCTGTAGCAATGTTAAGTTTGTATGAGAGGCCAAGAGAGAACAGGAAAACGGGGTGTGGGTCCCCTACACTGTCATGCTTAGAAACCCTCTGAAATGGCACAACTAGTTCTCCCAAGCAGGTGAGAGCCTGGTTAGGCCCCTCAACAGCCTCCTCTGATTGCTCAATCCTCTGGGATTTTCCCTGCCTGGCTCCCAGAGCCCAGGCCCAGTGAGGGTGGCTCCTGTGTTGCCTGCCATCCCTGCTCTATCGCACGCAGAATCTGACCGTGGCCTCTCGCCTGATCTGGGGTGCAGCAGATGGCGCCGAGGAATGGAGCCCAGCTGGCACGTGGGAGGCTCTGCGGGAGAGGAAGAGGCACCGTGGGGTGGCCTGCCCTAGGCAAAGTGCTGGGCCTGGGAGATGGGGCTGGAAAGGTCATGGGAATGTCGGGAGCCTCTGCCCTTGACCCTGGAGGGCTCAAGGAATTTAGTTCCACCCCTAGCACTATGACAAGTGACGAACACATCCCACACATGCCAGTGTAAGGGTCTGTGAATTAAATGCAGCCACTTTAATTTTTGTTTTTTAAAGCAAAGCATAAACATGAAGCTTTAAGGAAAGGAAAGCTATAGGGTAGCAATGTAAAGGCAGTAGCTTGAAACTTAAGGCAAAGAAGAGAAACTCAAATGGGACAATGGAGAAGTAGATGAGAAAGGGTATATGAAAACACGGTGGGGTGCTGAGCCAGCTTCTCCTATTTCCCATGATGGATAAGGTCTTTTTTTTGGTGGCGCCGCCCACGTCTGTGGCAGAAAAGCTGTGCTGGGCTCCCACCCTCATATCACAGGACTGGTGGCCGCCTGCTTCTTCGGTGGCTCAGCATGCAGCATCTCGGGGCACTACAGAGGGCTGTCAGAGGCCGGGCTAGTCCTATCAGGTTTCTCAGTTTTACCTGTGTCACTCCCAGGTTTATGTCTTGTTACTTTCAGCCCATTTCTTTAGACAAGCAAGGCCCCTGCTGGCTGGCTTGGCCTTCCAGTCAGTTCCTGGATTCTTGAGCAAACTCTTACTTTCTTGTGGTTCTTTGAGATGGTGCAGGGCAAAGAGCCCCAGAGCCTGTCAGCTCAGAGCTCTGCAGTAGGGGAGCTCATTAATTAATACTTAGAGTACAAGGTGGGGAGGTACATGCTGAGAGAATTGGGGAGAGTGAGGCTGGAAGCCGTTGCTATTGCTGCATGAGGAAAGAAGACGGGGGGCCAGGCAAAGCTATTGGACAGGAGAGGGGATATTGTCTGATGAGCCTTGAAGGTTGGGCTGTTGTGGGGAGGATAGGGAATGGTTTCAGGAGAAGCATGTAGACCTGAAAATGCATGGTTGATTTTGGAACAATAGGGGGTTTGGTGTATTAGTCTGTTCTTTCATTGCTATAAAGAAATACCTGAGATTGGGTAATTTATAAGAAAAGAGTTTTAATTGGCTCATGGTTCTGCAGGCTACACAGGAAGCATGGTGGCATCTGGAGAGGCCTCAGGAAGCTTCCAATTATGGAAGAAGGCAAAGAGACAGCAGGCATGTCACATGGCAGAAGCAGGAGCAAGAGAGAGAGAGGGGAGTTGCCACATATTTTTAAGTGATTAGATCTCATGAGAACTCACTCACTATTGCCAGGACAGCACCAAGGGAATGGTGCCAAACCATTCATGAGAAATGTACCCCCATGATCCTATTACCTTCCACCAGGCCCCACCTCCAACACTGAGGATTACATTTCAACATGAGATTTGGGCAGGGACACACATCCAAACTATGTCATCTGCTGTGGCCAAAACATGGGGTCTGAGGTGGTATTGGCTGGGGGTGGGGTGAGGGTTGGGTCGGGTGGGGATAGGGAGAAGGGGGATGGGGAGAAGTTTGGTGAGAAGTAGCAGGACGCCCACTAGAATCTCTTGTGGGTTTAAATGTTGTCACCAGATGTGCCAAGGAGGAAGAAGCTCGAGAACCATGGTGATACAGAGGAGCTGGTTGTCTTGGCTCCTGAAATGCTCCTGCAAGTGGTGAGATCGCCGCTGTCCTGTGCTTCAGCCACGATGTGTGGCCGGGTGTGAATTAAGCAGACCACAAGTTTGGTTTGGTCTTGGTCACAGATCTCCATCCAAATAGAGAAGCAGCCTTGGAAACTGTGATTGAAGTCTTGGAAATGCTCTGAGGCACAGAAAGATCCCAGAGAGCATGGAAAGCATTTAAGAAAGAAAAAGCTTTTAGGTTGTTGTTACCCAAAACAAATGGAGTGGAAAGTTCTGTTTGAAAAAGATGAGAGAGAAGCAAGGGAATCAGGGAAGCAGGATTTGCCTGTATTTCTTGGGTAGTTACCTGGATTATATAGTTCTACCCATAACTCCTCAAAGACTCACTGATTAGGGGATTTTCCCGCTTTCTCTTTTTCCTCATCATTTTGGATACATTAAAGACATATTACAGACCATCTAGAAAATAGGGCAAAGAAAAGGAAAACTTACTTATAATCCCCACCATTTATGTAGCATTTTGAATTCTATTCTTTCTCTTTTAGAGACAGGGTCTTGCTCTGCCACCCAGGCTGGATTACAGTGGTGCCGTCATGGCTCACTGCAGCCTCAAACTCCTGGGCTCAAGAGACCCTCCCACCCCAGCCTCCTGAGTAGCTGGGATGAAAAGGCAAACACCATCATTCCTGGCTAATTTTTATTAAATTAATTTTTTTCTTTTTTGAGAGATGGGGTCTCCCTATTTTGCCCAGACTAGTCCTGAATTCCTGGCCTGAAGCGGTGCTCTCACCTTGGCCTCTCCTAAAGCAGTGGGATTACAGCATGAGCCACTATGCCTGACCCAGATGTAATCATGTTAAGTATGCAGTTTAGAAGCCTTTGGCAAAGACCAGCTGGCTTCATTTCCTCGTCCTCCTGGGCACATAGACTACATCTCCAGGCTTCCTTTGCAAGTGGGCGTGGCCACGTAACAGTTTTGTTGATGCGGTGAGAAAGGTGTGCTCTTCCAGGCTCCTTTTCATCTATTGGCTGCCCCTGCATGAGGCTATCTCAAGTGCGAGAAATAAACTCTGCCTATGCTCAACTACACACATCTTAGAGTTTGTTTGTTGCAGTAGTTTAGCTGACTTTCACCCACACAGAAGCTGAAATTTCAATGAGCTATTTCTCATAAGCTTATGGGAACAAGTTGAGGAGGATCCAGAGGCATGTTTCTTGATAACATAAAGATTAAAAGGTTATAGCTGGGCTGTTGGGTTGCCTGTAGCCTGGGTGCTCTTTAATAGAGAAAACGACTGGGGTAAACATCCAACTTTTTTCCCGCGATGAATATACCAGGAGCATATACATCTGAAAAGGCTGAAGTTCAATATTTTCCCTTTTCTTCTCTCATTGTTTCTGACTTCTACAAAATAATAGGAATATATTATAGAATCCCATATCATTTTTAAACCCAGAGGTTCTTTCTGATACAGGTTGCATAGCCTCAGACAAGTTTAACTTCACAGAGCCTCAATTTCCTGATCTTTAAAATAGTCGCAGTAAGGTCTATTTTCTGGGATTGTTGAGTCATTGAAGGAGATCATGTTTGTCAGTGCGTAGTAGGGTACATTGTGCACAATAATAGGTGCCTTCCCACTGGACTATAGATTCCCTGAGAGAAAGACTGTGCCACCTTGTCTACTACTGTAGCTCCGGTGTCTAACACAGTCCCTGGCACATAGTAGGTGCTCAATGGTTAGTTATTTTCCAAACTTAAAGTGCCTTAAAGAGACCCCAGCTACTCGGGAGGCTGAGGCAGGAGAATGGTGCGAACCCAGGAGGCGGAGCTTGCAGTGAGCCGAGATCGCGCCACTGCACTCCAGCCTGGGCGACAGAGCAAGACTCCATCTCAAAAAAAAAAAAAAAAAAAAAAAAAAGGGACAAACAATGTACCCTGGATTGGAGAACTGAGAAAGGTGTTAGAGGAACATGGAGAGGGTCTGGACAGTCTAACACCTTAACCTTGAGGTGCTGGGAGGGTTAATCTATGAGTTCACCACAAGGGTGAGAGAACAAGAGTTTACACAAGAAGATGGGGAAACGTCCTATCTCTAATGTGTGTGCTTGGGATTGCTCTATATTTGGATGATAACTCTCTCATCTGAGGTTAATCCTCTTTGTCGGAGTCATCCAGCCAAGGGATTAACTGCTTTAAACTCCAGGCCTCGCTGGCCCTGACAATGTGAGCTTGGTGTTGCTGGCGCCCAGGGACCCAAGGGGTCCGTTTTTATTGACTCAACACACAAGGTTCCTCTGTGGCTATTTAATCCCAGTCTCTTAATCCTATGGAGGAAGAGACTGAGGCCTAAGAGGGGAGGTAACTGTTTTCTTGCAGCAGCTTTATGATGAGAATCACTGTTTCCAGCCTAGAGTTCTCCTCTGTGCTCTGTGCTAGGCTCCAGGGAAAGCTTCAGGAAAAGGGCCCTAGCTGAAAGAGCAGAAGAACGGGTCTCTGGGAGTGCTCGTGTATTGACAGAAATTCCATGCTGTGTTCTCGGGAAGTTCCCACTCTGTCTGTCAAAAGCCCAGCCTGCTCCCTTGCTAATCAATGGGCTATTTGGAAACACGTCCCAGGGTCTGAGTCCTCCAGCCATTTTCTAGCTTTGTGTGCTCAGTTCGTGATGCACAATCTAGGATGAGAGAGCCTAGCCCAACTGGGGTCACATGCCCATTCCTGAGGGCACCATCACTATGACTCCCAAGATGGCAGGTAGTGAGGAAAGGGGAGTTTCTTAAAGGAACACTGGAGAGTTGTTACTGAAAGAAGGGGACATAGGTCCTGAGCAGGCAAAGCCAACAGGTGTCCACTACACACGCTGAGCTGGCTTCTCTTGCTGAAATAAAGATTACAAAGTGCTACCTTTAAAGGAAAATTGGAGAGTTGTTGCTGAAAGAAGAGGACATGGGTCCTGAGCAGGCGAAACCCACAGACGTCCACCACACACACTGAGCTGGCTTCTGTTGCTGAAATAAAGATAACACAGTGCTACCTTTGTTGGTGAGTGTTGACGACTTTGAAAGTGGGCTATTTCTCCATCTCCCCTTCCTTTTTTTTTTGAAACAGAGTCTTGCTCTGTTACTCAGGTTGGAGTACAGTAGTGTGATCTTGGCTCACTGCAACCTCTGCCTCTCAGGCTCAAGTAATCCTCCCACCTCAGTCTCCTGAGTAGCTGGGACCACAGGCACCCACCATCATGCCTGGCTATTTTTTTTTTTGTATTTTTAGTAGAGACAGGGTCTCGCCATGTTGCCCAGGCTGGTCTTGAACTCCTGAACTCAAGCGATCCACCCGCCTCGACCTCTCAAAGTGCTGGGATTACAGGTGTGAGCCACTGCGCCTGGCCTTCCTTATTTTTTTCTAAGGGGTTTCTAAGGGGTTCACATTTTTATAACCATCTCCTTGCTTGCCCTAGTCTTGCATTTTAAGAATTAAACTATGCAAAATTCAAAGATATAATTCTCCCTAAAATGCCTTTTACATTTATTTATTTATTCAGCAAATGTTTATTGACTTCTCATTGTGTTAGGCATCAGAGTTAATGATAGGTAAGGAAAACGTGATCTCTGCCCTCAGGGTGTATAGTGTAGAAGTTTGTAAAGAAGCTTTGTTTCACATACACCTTAACAGAGTACATGCACACACATACACACACACATAAATATACATATATAATACATTATTATATGCTTCAGAATTTCTAGCTTGCTTATAATTTGAAGACCTTTAAGCCCAACTGCTGCTCATCAGAAGTCCTAACTTGGTTAAAGAAAGGGGTACATTGTTGAATCACAATTATGAAGAACATTTTGCTAAAGAACATGACCTTGCATTCTCCCTGTGCATAGGACATCTTGGAAGTTGAAGAGTAAAAAATCCATCTCGGTGTCAAACTGCCTGCTACTCTGTTTTCCTAAAACCAGGAGGGAGTGGGTGGCCTTCATTTGTGCTGCTTCTGTTTGCAGGCTGTGAATGAGGACTGGCACCCCTGGCTGCTTTGCTGTTGTGTGTTGGTGTTTGAACACCGGTCAGCATATTGCTTTGCTATTGTCACGTTATTTGTATAATCCCAGCAGCTGGCAATTGTGTAATAATTTTTGAGAGCCCCAGATATTTGCTTAGAGAGAATAAAAATAGGCAGAGAATGAGGTGTGCTCTGCATCCCGTGCAGAACGTTGTATGACTGCACTTCACAATGACAGGATTGTTTCTTGGTTAGAATTTCCCGTGGGACTTTCCCTACTCAAAGTTCAGAGAAGGGTCATGCATTCTGGAAGGGAAGCCTGTCTTATCCTCTTTGCATGCACTGACAGAGCTAGAAAAATTGCCTCAGCCCTTGCAGTCTGGTCAGGCTTGTACTGATAGGGAACTCATAAACGGCTGTATTAGTCTGTTCTCATACTGCTATGAAGAAATACCCAAGACTGGGTAACTTATAAAGAAAAAGAGGTTTAATGGATTCACAGTTCCATGTGGCTGGGGGAGCCTCACAATCATGGAGGAAGGCAAAGGAAGGGCAAAGGCATGTCTTACATGGCGGCAGGCAAGAGACCATGTGCAGGGGAACTGCTCTTTATAAAACCATCATCTTGTGAGACTTATTCACTATGATGAGAAGAGCATGGGAAAAACCTGCCCCCATGATTCAGTTACCTCCCAACAAGTCCTTCCCATGACATGTGGGGATTATGAAAGCTACAATTCAAGATGAGATTTGGGTGGGGACACAGGCAAACGATATCAATAGTCACAATGGTTTTGAGCCTGAGGTCTGTACCAGTATGCAGACTTAGAAGAGCACAGAGCCACATCTTTGTCTCCTGCTTTTTGTTCCATGGTGGCAAGAGTATCGGTCTGGAGCTAGATTGCTGGGATTGAAGCTTGTCTCTTTCACTTACTAATTGTGCTAAAATTCTCTGCACCTCAGTTTCCTAACCTGTAAAACAAGGATAATATTAACGAGAATTCTATCTTACACACTTGTTAAAAGGAATGAATTAAAGGAGACAATACAGTGCTCAGCACAATGTTGGACATATAGCGAGGGTATTAATTAGCTGCTACTGTATAGCAATAATGCTGCCTAACAAATAGCCCTAATTATTGCAGTGGCTCATACAACAAACTATATTTATCTTACTTATGAGGTGGCCAGTCAACTGGGATTGGCTCTCCTTCATGCTGTAAGTCAAGTTCAGGTCTGCTCCAGGCATCTCTCATCTCTCCACCAGATGCTACCAGCAGCTACCAGGGACATATTCTTCTCCTTCTTCTCATGCCAAATGGCAGGAGGACATGAGGAATGTTAAACTGTCCTAGTATATTTAAAGCCTCTGCACTCATCATGTTTGCTAGCATTTCATTGGCCAAGGCAAATGACATGGCCAAACCCAAACCCATGTCAGTAAAGTGCGAAAGTATACTCTTCTCACAGTAGAAGACATGGCAAAGTGACATGGCAAGAATGTGGATTATAATCATATTACATGGGGGAAAAGAATTGGGAGTAAAAATTTGATCTACCAAAGCAAGTTCCCTATGTAACAAGATGTTGAGTGGGACTTTTTTATTGCCCCGAATGGGCATTCAGATTGCAAAGCTAAAAATAAAGTCTTAGACACTCTATTTGTTAAATAACTGGAATTCCTCATGACTTTCAAGAGGTATCAAAACTGGCTTTGGGACCCACAACTCTAAGCCCCTGGGTCTATGTAAGTAGAGGGATTAAAAAAAGTGGGTAGAATTTTTGAAATCTTGGCCTGTAACAAATACTAGCTTGAGGTGAAACACTTTTTGTTCCCCATAAAACCAAGAAAAGGGCCTCCAAGAGACTCCCTTATGGGGAGTGGAGATGCTTGCAAAAAGGGAGACAGGGTACCTTGCACCCTAGCTGGGTGTTTGCTGATCCATGGTTCTGGTGGAATGGAGTCTACTATTCAGGAGAGTGCTTTAGAGGGTTTGATGTGTGCCCTGGAGTTTGGGGCATAGAAGACATAGAGCCTGGTGCCTCTTCTAGTCTGGAAATTTTGGCAGGCAGCTGATTTAATGGAGTAGCCCATGCCAGCAAGAAAGATGGGTGGTAGTACAGTGCTAAGGGAAGAAAAGAACATTTTTTCCTTTGCATTCATTGAGGGCTTGGGAAGGTACAGAAAGCTCCACAGGAAGAAGCCTGATGTGTAGGGGAGGAGCAGGAGCCCCAGGGCTGTCCAGGCTCAATCACAAAAGGAGGAAATCTGCCTGGAGAAGAGGCTGGGTGTGTGGACAGCTGGAGGGTCTGAAGCGGGACCCAGCTGCCCCTTTCTGAGAGGCTCCCTACTGCCCAAGAGGGCCGAGGTGAGGCTGAACACTGTCTCAAGAAAACTTTATACACAGAAGCCACCACATCAGACAGCCCAGTCCAAACCAGAGCCATGCCAGGGAGGGACATCTCTCTGTCATCATCATCATAATAGCTCTTGCTGTGATTACGCTTCACTCATTCTTGTTTGAATGAACAAAATTAATCTGCCTCCTTCCTCCATTTCTGGTTCCTCTTCATAGCTTCTTGCCTCCTCTCATCGGCTCTGTGTGGAGACTTGCAATACTTTATATACTGGTGAATGAGCTGTCTCGGCTTGGAGGCAGGGCCTGTGGGGGTGGGCGTGCTGGCTGATCCGCTTGGGGCTCCCGGCTTTTACTCCTAATCCTCAGCTTCTGTCTGGCCTGTAGCAGATGGAATCCTCTGCAGGATGCTTGGCCAGTTGCTTCACTTTTTAAAACAAGGCAGGGTCCAAAATACATAAATAAAATGCTGGCAGGGAGCATATCTTTGCAAGGAGCAAAGGGTTGGCATTTCTAAGGGAATAAGCTTTCCCCAACGGTAGGAGCTATCTTTTTAAGGATAAATCCTTTTCTAATTTGACAATCTTTTAGCTCTCAGGGAGATATTAAATAGCTCCAATGGATGAAGAAAGAAGTTAAGATTTCCTAAGGTACTTTGTCATTTGAGACGCGAGTACAGAGCTACGGCCAGCAATTCATTTGTTCTCATGCTTAGATCTGGGCCATTTGGTGACCTGCCTGAATTTAGCAAGTGACAAACCCCACTCCTGGCTCTGATTGTGTAAACTGATACAATACCCAGAGTGCGACTCGTTTCAAGCTTTGCGTTTGCCATGGATTTGGAAATTACCCAAATCTATTGCTGAAATTAGTGAATATTCAAGTTTCCAGCCAGGTGGCTGGTTTCCTTATGCCTATTAACTTTTTCTTTCTGATTAGAAAGGTGGTATTTGCCATTGAATACAATTTGGAAAATAGGAAAACTTATAAATGATAAAGCTCTTCATTCATGCTGCCAAGTTGCATTGTAGAAAGCTTGTTCTAGTTAACCTGACAGCTAGCACTATGCATGTGCCCCTCAATGCATCTTTGTTTGCAATGAGTATTATCCTTAGAAGGAAAATAAAACATTGTCAATTTGTTAGGTGAGAAAATATTTTATTTTTCATTTATTTGATTGCTTATGAGATTGAGCACTTTTATTTATTGACTGATTGTATGTCCCCTTCTAAACATTGTTTTTCCATGCTGTATGTCCATTTTAAATTAAGCATTAGTGTTTTCCATATTTGTAAAAGCTCCGCATATATTGAAGATATTATTCTCCTTGTTACTCTCATAAGAAATACTTATAAGAAATATTCTCATAAGTGTTGCAAATATTTTCCAAATCGATTTGCCTTTGATTTTGTATTTGTATGGTTTCCAGCCTGGGCGCCAGAGCAAGGCTTTTTGTATTAGTCTGTTTTCACACTGCTGTAAAAGACTACCTGAGACTGGGAAATTTATGAAGAAAAGAGGTTTAATTGACTCACAGTTCCACAAGCTTAACAGGAAGCATGACTGGGAGGCCTCAGGAAACTTAAAATCATGGCGGAAGGTGAAGGGGAAGCAAGCACCTTCTTCCCATGGTGGCAGGAGAGAGAGAGTGAGGGAGGAAGTGCCACACACTTTTAAACCATCAGATCTTGTGAGAACACACTCACTATCGTGAAAACAGCATGGGGAAATCTGCCTCCGTAATCTCATCACCTCCCACCAGGTCTCTCCCCCAATATTTGGGAATTATAATTCAACATGAGATTTGGGTGGGGACATGGAGCCAAACCATATTACTTTGTCTCTTAAAAATGCTTTGTATTTTAAAATAAGAATAGAGGGCAGGCACGGTGGCTCACATGCCTGTAATCTCAGCAGTTTGGGAGGCTGAGGCAGGCAGATCCCTTGAGCCCGAAAGTTGGAAACCAGCCTGGGCAACAGGGTGAAACCCCATCTCTACAAAAAATACAAAAATTAGCCAGGTGTGGTGGCATGCGCCTGTAGTCATAGCTACTTGGGAGGCTGAGGTGGGAGGATCACTTGAGGCTGGGAGACTGAGGTTGCAGTGAGCTGTGATCGTGCCACTGCTCCAGCCTGTGTGACAGAGTGAGAACCTGTCTCAAAAAAAAAAAAAAAGAAAGAAAAAGTAAAAGAAACATTTCACTTATAGAGAACTTAATACAATCTAGGCTTTGAGTTCTTTAAATTCAATATCTCATTTAATCCTTCCAGTTTTCTCAACATGATTCAGGTAGTAGATGGCAGAGCTGCAGCACCCACTCAAGACTTTCTGATTCTGAAGCCTGAACTGTTAACCTCTGCAGTCTATACAGTCATCCCCTCGCTTAAGATTTTTGCAAATTGTTTCCCATGGTTTAAGGTGGCAGAGAACTAGTCTTTTAACACGCTAATTTTTGGTCTTATGTTAGTAACTCGTTTCATTTTTTTTTCTCTTTGAAATAAAAAAGTGTTAAGGTAAGGCTAACTTTGCTTGAAGTTTAGTGAGCACCGCTGATTTCGAGTCAAAGTTTTCTTCACCTCAGGCGAGTTTTTATCTAGTGCTGTGGTTCTCAATCCTGGCTGTACTTTAGAATCAAGTGAGAAATTTATTAATTTTCCCCCCTAACCCTCCTGAGAATACTTAAGCCAGAATCTCTAGGGATGGGAGTATAAATTGAATTTTTTAAAAATAAGCTGCCCAATGATCCTAATGTGCAGCCAAGACCCAGTGACAGAGCAAACCTTCAATTATTATTACTGTTTCTATTGCTTTATTTTCCCATAATTCTTGGGTAGAATCTTGCTTCTTTTTCTTTCATGTCTATTATGTCATTATTTTTTACCTTTTTATATTTTTTTCTTTTCTGTCTGAAGGTAGACTTGACATGTGGGCAAACCGAGCAGGGCACCCATTAGCTGGAAGGGAAGAAAGCAGAGTTGGCTTAGAGATGAATGCAAATAAGATCTGAACACCAGCTCTCTTGAACCACATGGGTGCTTATCTTGCCCAGGGAATTAATTCCTTTACACCACTCCTTTCCCCTTCGCGCTCACCTCAAGAAACCATCTATTTATATATTAATAGTGTTTTTTTTTTTTTTTGAGATGGAGTCTCGCTCTGTCACCCAGGCTGGAGTGCAGTGGCGCGATCTCGGCTCACTGCAAGCTCTGCCTTCTGGGTTCACGCCATTCTCCTGCCTCAGCCTCCCGAGTAGCTGGGACTACAGGTGCCTGCCACCACCCCCAGCTAATTTTTTGTATTTTTAGTAGAGACGGGGTTTCACCATGTTAGCCAGGATGGTCTCGATCTCCTGACTTCATGATTCGCCTGCCTTGGCCTCCCAAAGTGCTGGGATTACAGGCGTGAGCCACTGCGCCCGGCCCAATGGTGTTTTAAAAGTAATGCTTGCCTGTTGACTCCAGGAGTCTGACGCCAAAGACTGAACTCCCAATATGTGCTAAACCATCTCCTCTTTGGACTCCCACTATCTCAGCTACTAGAAATGTATTATCTCATCGATATATGTTCCATTAAAGCCAGGGGTGTCGTAGATGCAGGTACAATGAGTACAGAGTCAGATTCAGAGAAGGAGTTGATCAACGATATCCTCTCCCTCCTCCATCAAGAATTAAGTCATGCTGTACACAAATGGAGTCTCCAGACATCCTCCCTGGGGAAACAGTCTAGAAAGCAGGAATGGCTGGGGTTGATTTCCCTGTCTGAATAATTTTTAATGGCTCAGCTTTCTCCTGCTGGGTTGACTCTCTGATCCCTATGCCTTGTAAGCCATTTGGACACCTCACCCTGCTTCTCCTTCTCTGCCAACATGCATGCTGCAGAGCAGACTCCCCCATCCTGGTTTCCTCTCCATCCTTTTTGCTGCTTCTAGTGACTGCTTTGTCTGAGTGATTTAACAAAACTGGACGTTCCATTAAGATACTTTGCACCTGGGGCTCATCTTCCCCAATCATTTGTCTGTTCTTAGTCCTGTACTTTCCAAGACATCTATTGAAATAAGAGCTTCATCCTGGAGGATATTACATTAAATGAAATACGCCGGGCACAGAGAGACAAACACTGCCTGATCTCACTGATAAACGGAATCTAAAAAAGTTGAGCTCATCGAAGTAGAGAGTGGAATGGTAGTTACCAGGGGCTGGAGTGAGTGTGTTGGGGAGATCCTTGTTGGTCAAAGGATACTAAATTTCAGTTTGACAGGATTAATAAATTCAAGAGGTCTATTCTACAACCTGGTAGCTATAGTTAATAACAATGTATTGTATTCTTGAAAATTGCTGGTCAGGTGTGCTGACTCACTCCTGTAATCCCAACACTTTGGGAGGCTGAGGTGGGAGGATCACTTGAGCTCAGGAGTTTGAGACCAGCCTGGCCAACATGGCAAAACCCTGTTTCTACAAAACAAAGTACAAAAATTAGCTAAGCATGGTGGTGTGCGCTTGTAGTCTCAGCTACCTGGGAGGCTGAGGTGGGAGGACCACTTGAGCCTGGGAGTTCATTAAAGCTGCAGTGAGCCATGTTCATACCACTGCATTGCAGCCTGGTAACAGAGCAAGACCTTGTCTCAAAAACAAAAAATTGCAAAGGGAGTAGATTTTGTGTTCTTATCATACACACATACACACACAAAAAGATAAGTCTGTGAGGTTTAGCTTGGTTTAGCCATTCCACGATGTATTCATATTTGAAAACAACATTTTATATATAACAAATATACATAATTTTTATTTGTCAATTAAAAGAAAGAAATAAGAGCTTGAGGAAGATACAGTGTAGGTAGGCCATAAAACCACAGAGCCTGCACTTGGGTACCCCGGGAGAACTTAGGGAGACGGGATCTGGTTCCATTCATGCAGTAAAAACTCCAAAAGTGGTCCCTGTGCATACTGTGTGACTTATGGCACACAAATGGGGAGGTGTGCCTGAGGATTTGCATTTGCTGAAGGCCAGTTATTTGTCTAGCACTTTCTGAAGAGTAGACGTGAGGAGCGGTAGAGTTGTGATGCAGGTCTTCGGACTCCTCATGCACTACTCCTTTCTCTATTCTGGGCGTGTCTTCACTGAAGGTCTCCAGAGAGGAGCAAGGAGAGACTAATTGGGAACAGGCAGGATTTGACAGTTTGGAAAAATCAGACAAGTGATCTCCAGGGGAGATGACCCTGGGCTCTAAGCACACTTGGTCTGTGTCCCAGGCATATCTATAAATTACTCCCTTACCTAGAAATCACCTGGCACTGTTGCCCAGAGAGGTGCCTTGAAGAGGTACCTAGAGAAAATATTCAGCTTGCAAGCTGCTAGTTCACAGACAGGCTTGAAATCCCTCAGAAAATACTTTGTCCATGTCACCTTGTTGCACTCCTCATTATGGGAAAATCATCCTGGGTAAACACCAAGGTGGGCAAACTGTGTTTTGGCTTGCTGGTACTGGTTTGCCATTCTTTTCTCACCACATTCATTAAATTATCAAAATTCTATAAGGATTTAAATGAATGTTCCAGCCTCAGGGCCCATCTGTTCATGCTATTTATTCCCTCGGGGAAGTCACGAATCTGTCATTTGCGATTTTAGTTTTTGTGTCTGTGGTGCCAGTGGTGTTTCCTTCTGTGAGGCACGACTTCCCAGGCAGGACTCTTGGGAGGATTGTGAAGCTAATGGCACCTCCTTCCTCAGGAAGTGAGACACCTGCAACCGAGTGTGAGGTGCAGCAGCCAAGAGCCAGTGAGGAAGAGAGCCTGGAGGGGGAAATGTGCATTCCTTACTTCACAAGACAGAATTTCAGGCCTGCAGAGGGATGGGGGACTTCCTTTAAGTCATCCTAAAACTTTCCACCATCCCCAAATGCCAAAAATACTTCTTCTCAAAAGAAGACTATTCATTTGCTGGGGCTGCTATAACAAAACACCATGGAACGGGTGATCTAAACAACAGAAATTTCTTTCTTTCAACAAAAATTTTTTTTTTTTTGAGACAGTCTCACTCTGTCACCCAGGCTGGAGTGCAGTGGCACTATCTTGGCTCACTGCAACCTCCACCTCCTGGGTTCAAGCGATTCTTGAGCCTCAGCATCCCAAGTAACTGGGACTACAGGCATGAGCCACCACACCTGGCTAATGTTTGTATTTTTAGGAGAGACGGAATTTCACCATGTTGGCCAGGCTGGTCTCGAACTCCTGACTTCAAGTGATCCACCCGCCTCGGCCTCCCAAAGTGCTGATATTACAGGTGTGAGCCACTGCGCCCAGCCCAGAAATTTATTTCTGGTGGTTTTGAAGGCTGGAAGTCCAAGGTCAGGGTGTGGTCAGTGTTGGTTTCTACTCAGGTCCCTTTCCTTGGCTTGCAGATGGCTGCCTTCTTGCTACCTGTTCACATAGCCTTCCCTTGGTGCAAGCACCCTGGGGTCTCTGTGTATGTTCAGATTTTCTCTTCTTGTAGGGACACTAGTCAGATTGGATTAGGATCTACCCTAAAGGTCTCATTGTAACATAATTAACTCTTTTGAAAGGCTTTATCCAAATACGGTCACATTCTGAAGTTCTGGGGGTTAGGACTTCAGCACATGAATTTTGAGGGGACAGAATTCAGTGCCTAGCAGTGCATGAGGGTATAAACACTTGTTGAGTTTCTGTTCTGTGCCGGGTACTGCACTCATGACGTCACATGTTTTCTCATTTACTGAAAAGACTTTATAAATCATCCAACGGTGATCCCAGCGGCCTTTGTATGATCATCATTCTGCAGTCAGTGCAAGGAGTGAGGCTTCCCTTAAGAACTTAGACATTTGGCCAGGCGCAGTGGCTCACGCCTGTAATCCAAGCACTTTGGGAGGCTGAGGCAGGAGGATCACTTGAGCCCAGGAGTTCAAGACCAGCTTTGGCAACATGGCAAAACCCTGTCACTACCCAAAATACCAAAAAAATTAGCCAGTCATGGTGGTGCACGCCTGTAGTCCCAGCTACTTGGGAGGCTGAGGTGGGAGGAATGCTTGAGCCTGGAAGTTTGAGGCTGCAGTGAGCTGTGTTCTTGCCACTGCCCTCTGGCCTGGGTGACAAAGTGAGACCCTGTCTCAAGGGGCAAAAAAAAAAAAAAAAAAATTCAGTCATTTAAAATTAGGGCATAAAGAGCAGAGTGAGAAAATAAAGTCACCTTAAAGAGAGAAAAGGGTCCCCAACCCTACTGTACTTGAACCTAACTGAACTGAATATATTGGTAACAATAATGGTGGTGGTGATGATGATGATGATGATAGTTGATGTTTGTTGAGTGCTACTTTTGGCTGGGTGTGTGTTCTAAGTGCTTTAAATGGATTACTTAATAGTCACAAATCTAAAGAAAGAACACATCTAGCACTCTTAAGAGGGATTGGTCAGCTAAGTATGCAAAGAAAAAGGAGCCTCTCAGAAGGTGATGTTGGCACTGAGTTCCAAATACCACCTAAGAAAGACAGCATCTAGCTAACAAATTCAGGTATGAGGGTTCCTTTGGCAAGGCTGTGCCTACTGTGCACCTGAGGGCAGCAGGCTCCAAGATGGAGACCCAGAGCAGTGACTCATCTGCTTCTGCCTGTTCCAACTCTGTGTTCCTGAGCCTCCATCCAAATATGGGTTGACTTCCTGTGTTGGTCTGATAGGAGGTGCTGATCATGCCAAGATGAGGATTCTGTCTTACAGGTAGAGCTCTCCTTGCAGATAAGTAAAGTGACATTCTGGTTGATATATCCATCTGGAGATAATAGTGGGAGAGAGACCTGTGGCTGCAGGGTTGATGAGCCAGGTCTTTGGCTTGATTTAGGGTAAGAGTCAGACCCTGGACTGGGATATTATATTTGTTTCCTATTGCTGCTGTACAGAAAAGAAAACTATAGACAAATACCTCGGATATATAGACATAAAAATCCTCAAGAAAAATACTAGCAAACAAAATCTAGCAACATAAGAAAATGATTATACACCATGACCAAATGGCATTTATCCCAAGAATGCAAGTCTGGTTTAATGTTTAAAAGTCAATCAATGTAATATACCACATTAATGGAATAAAAGAAAAAACTTACACAGTCATTTTAATAGACAGAAAAACATTTGACAAAACCCAACACCTTTTCATAATAAAAATACTTAAACTAGAAATAGAAGGGAACTTCCTTAACCTGATAAAGGACACTTCTAAAAACCCCACAGTGAACAACGTCATAGTTAATGGTGAAAGACTGAATGCTTTCCCTTCAAGTTTAGGAAAAAGACAAGGGTGTTCACTCTCACCACTTCAACATTATAGGACACATAGCATGGGCTTTGGAATGAAAGAACTTGGACTCAAATGATAGCTCCATCAATCACTAGCTGTGTAATTTTGGGCAAATTGCTTAACCTCTCTAAGCTTGCCTTAGTTTCTCCCTGTATACAATGGGATGATAATTATACCTACATTGCAGGTCTTTTTTTGAGGACTGAATGAATGTCAAGCTTCCAGCTCTGAGCTGGGCACGAGGTGGATATTCACAAAATGTTCTTTTTGCTTTCTTCCCTCTGGGATGCTTAGCTTCATCTCAGAGAAAAGAGAAGGGTGTGGACAAGACAAGGTGGGGAGAGTGGGAGGCACATTTAAGCATTTTTGAGATACTCTAATTAACGGGCAGAGGCCAGGCTGGAAACAGATCAACTGTGCCCTTTGTGTGGCTGTTCCAGAACAAGCTCATTTTTGCCATGCCTTCTGCTTGGGACTGCCGGGAAGGCATCCTGTTCTCCAAGCCCCCGCACTGACGGCACTGTCCGGCCGCTCTTCTATCCCTCAGCAGGAAGGCTCAGTAGGGGTTTAGAAAGCAGATTGTCCACACTGTCCTGATTTCGGGAAAGAAAAGCTCTTTCTATTGAACAAATAACCTTTTGGATGAGAAAGAAAAGAAATACTCCAGAGGCATGACAGTCACAGAAGGGGCCCAGGGACAGCCCAGAAGGTGTTTGTGTGTGCAGGGAGCTGAGTTGCAGGGGGAAGTGTGGTGGGTGGAGGGCAGGAGGAGTGAGACATGTGGTCTCAGTGTTCTGCTGAGCTTCAGCATGCTGCCTCCATAGTGGAGTTAAGGTTTTAACTTGTGCATATTGGGGCATAGTAATAGTCCCAGGGGTTTGCCAGAATTTCTGTGCTAATTTTGCAAAGCTATGCAGATTCAGGAGTAGTTCTTTGAGCTTTTCTTTTCTTTTTCTCATTATAAGCATTAAAGTGACATGCATTTTATGAACTGTGAGGAAACTTGGGATAAGGTCATGAAGAATGGCATTTGGTGCTCTGCAGAGAAAAACATCCCTCAGGTATTTGAACCTATTGCACTGGAGAAAAAGAGAAAAATATACCTGTGAAAGCTCTTATTATCATTGTCACGTTCATCCCAGGGACTCAAATTAAATCTGGGATTGTGCAGAAACTGTGTTTCCACCCTCTGGGGACAAATCCCATCACCAACTCAGCTCTTTGTGTAGCGGAGATTTTCAGTCCCTCCTGGGAGCTGTTTTCACCCTCTTCCACCAGTGAGTCATCCGCAGAGGCTGTTCTCCAAGAAGGTGGGATGGGAGAGCAGGAGGAGGTGTCAGAATGTAAAAGCTGTTCTGTTCTTTCCTTGACAATTATCTTTGCAGCTTGTTAGTAAGATTTTTCTGCAGAGTCAGAAAAAGTGAATGGACCAGGTACTTACCCAGGGTCTGATTCCACCCCGCAAACCCTCACCTGGCTGAATATGAGATCCCTACATTGCTATTGGCGCTCAGAAAACAATATCCAAAAATGAAGGCCTCAGAAGCGAAAGTGTTTTTCTCCTCCCCGTCTGTCTCTCAGTCCCAGTCTCTCTCAAGGCTAGCCATAGAAACTAGAATCCTTCTTTCCCAGGGCAGATCATAGAAACCAGAATACTTTTTCCCCAAAGCCAGCCATAAAACCTAAAAATACTACTCCCACTTCCCTCTGCCTTTCTGTGTAAAACCTGGCCATAAAGAAATTATCTGACCAACCTTCTTTGACTATAGGTCCTAAGACTCTCAGTCCAGAGAGGGCCCTGCCCCACACCCAGAAGGAAGGAATGCTGCCCAGAGATGACCAGAGGAATCTAGACAGGTAGGTCTTCTGGGTTTCCTCACTTAGTCATGAGCACTAGATCCTATCCTTTTTGTCCAATCATATTTCTCCATGGCTGTCTATACTTTGTTGAACCCATGCATAACAATGGCCAATTTCCCTTGTGTCTTTGGGTCTTCATTCTGAAGGCTCCCGTGGATACACGTCAAATAAAGTTGTATGCCTGCCTTCCAATTAATCTGCTTTTGTGAGTTGATTTTTTGGTGAAACTTCAGAGGGCCAGGGAGCCCTTGGCCCCTACATGGCCACATGTAAGTCTTATGTCCTGCTGCCTTTCAAACAGGAGTGAAATAATCCCAGCGACAGCGTATGTGTGAGATCCTTGGGATCAAGTCACTTCAACAAATATTTAACATGCCCTGGGGTAGGTACATGACACATTACAGAAATGAGTAGGTCAAAGATATCCAACCTTAAGAAAGTTAGAGTCAAGTGGGTTGAATACATGTGCATTTGCATGTATTTGCATTTCATAAATGAAATTTACCATTTCATAAGGTAAAGTGAAAGGAAGGCTGTGGCAAAGGTATACGTAAAATGCAGGGTTGTGATGAAGGGGGAGAAATCAATTGTCCGGAGATGGAACTGGGGGAGGAAGGAGCATTGAGGCTGAGTCAAGTGCAATGGTGGGGATCAGCAAAGATGTATGTCTTGGAAAAGCCCAGAACCGGAGTATGGCCCTAGTGCATGGATGAAGCTGCAAGGGTGGACAGAACCAAAACAGAAGGTCACATGTGCCCAGCACAGCACACTGGGCACAGACTAGGACTGCATCTGGTTGCCTCCAGATGGCTTTAGGGGCCATGCAGAGGGCAGTGGTAGGTATGAGGGAGCCAGCGGAGGCTTCTTTGGAGGCGATCTGTTTGATGTGATACGGTCTGTGGATGGAGGCAGTATAACTTCGTGGCTTCTGGCCTGTGCCCTGGAGTTGGAGAGCCTGGATTAGAATCCCAGCCCTGCCACTTACTAACTGTGTGACCGTAAGTATGGTTTTCCTCAGCCTGTGTTTCCTCATCTGTAAAAGAGAGACAAGAAGAGTACTCATGCGGGGATCTCGGGAGGGTTAAGTGAGATAATGCATGTAACACGCTTAGCTCAGTGCCTGGTCCTTGGCAAAGGCTCAGCAAAGGGAGGTGATATTAACAACCATTCCAAGGAGATGGCCGTCAACGCTAGGGGTGGATAAATTGGGAAGAGAGGGACGACAGGCCTGGGGCCACGTGGGCAGCTGTGGCCAGCATGCAGGTCAGGCGTGCCAAGGCCTGAACCTGAACAGTGGTAGGAGAAAGGAAAGGAGAGATGGATGAGATGATTCTTAATGCTGAGATGAAACGGCTAGGACTTGGCAAGTCTAGGAAGTGGGGCTGAGGAGAGTGAGAGGAGTGACACAGCTGAGGTTCTTAGGTTAGGGCAACTGGGAGAGAGGATGGGAGGAGTGTTGGAGGAATACTGAATTCCATATTGGGCTCTCTTGAGTGAACAGGCTCAGGAACCAATTGCAACTCAGGGACAAGGTCAGGGTTGGAGTTACGTGCTTGGCTAGGGCTGAAGCATCATGTGGCAGAAGTGGCTGAAATCATCCAGGGAGACAGAATAGAAGCAGAAAATCTCATGCTAGAACCATAGAGAAGATTTGCATTGAAAATGGAAGTGGAGGGTAAGGAACAGGGAATGAGAGAGAGAGAGAGAAGCAGCTGCATTTGGGGAGGAAGGAGAAGAGTCAGGAGAAAGCTGGTGTCAGAGATTCCAAAGCAGGAGGGGTCTGACCAAGTAGGTGTTCACGGAGGACAGGGACCAAGAGGAAGCTCCTGCGTGTCAGTCAGGATGTGGCTTGTGAGTCTTGCAGACATACTGCCTGCATGGAGGTGAGAAGAAGAGCTGCAGTCCTGGGGGCAAAGAGGGGAGTGTGTGGCGGTGCACGGTTCAGTGAGTCCTTCAAGACGTTCGGAGGTGAAAGCAAGGGGAGAATGTTGGCCAAGCTTGTAGGAAAGAGGATTGAAGGAAATGTCTTTAGGATGTGTGATATTTTAGTATTTTTACAGGGTAAAAAATGAGAGTGTGAGGAGAAGGAACTTGAAGATGCAAAAGGAGGAGATGGTTGATGGATCCAAGTTCAGGAACACATGGGAGGGTGTGGGGCTGAGAGCAGTCGGGGGTTAGCCTTAGAAAAGGGTAGCTACGCTGTGGAGGGAGAGGAGGAGAAGGGAGTGGGTGAAGTTGGGAGACTTTCTGAGAGAAGGCTTTCAATGAACTAGCGAGTGAGGTCAGGAAGGGTTTTGGAGATGGGGGGAGATTCAGGGAAAAGATGTTTTCTTGTTTTTTTTTTTTTTTTTTTTTAAATAGAGACAAGGTCTCACTTTGTTGCCCAGGCTAGTCTTGAACTCCTGGGCTCATGCAATTCTCCTGCCCTGGCCTCCCAAAGTGTTGGGAGGTGTGAGCCACTGCACCCAGTCCAGGGAAAAGGTTTGGAACAGCCCTCACGGGGAATAAAACTAAGCACAACTAGGGGCATTGACAAGCAGGACTGGGGGTCAGTCGATTTGAACATCTGTATTGGGGGGGGTTGGGCAGATAAGCACACATATATGTATACATATACACATATATGTTTGTGTGTGTATGTGTATATGTATATATTTTACTGTGAGTGTTTGGCAGCCTAAGTAATGGGCAAAAGAAAGTGGGTTTGCACATTGGGTGCAGTGGCTCATGCCTGTAATCTCAGCACTTTGGGAGGTAAAGGCAGAAGGATTGCTTGAGGCCAGGAATTTGGCGTCAGCCTGGGCAACATAGTGAGACTCTATTGCTACAAAAAATTTGAAAAAAAAAAACAAAAAAAACAAAAAAGTGGCTGAGTGTGGTGGCTCATGCCTGTAATGCCAGCACTTTGGGAGGCCGAGGCAGGCGGATCACTTGAGGTCAGGAGTTTGAGACCAGCCTGGGCAGTACGGTGAAACCCCG
Source organism: Homo sapiens (assembly GCF_000001405.40). Taxonomy (NCBI): domain Eukaryota; kingdom Metazoa; phylum Chordata; class Mammalia; order Primates; family Hominidae; genus Homo; species Homo sapiens. Next base: position 91,131,793 of record NC_000015.10, read on the forward strand.
TCTCTACTAAAAATACAAAAATTAGCTGGGTGCGGTGGCAGGTGCCTGTAATCCCAGCTACTCAGGAGGCTGAGACACAAGAATTGCTTGAACGTGGGAGGCAGAGGTTGCAGTGAGCCAAGATTGTGCCACTGCACTCCAGCCTGGGCCATAGAGTGAGACTCTGTCTCAAAAAACAAACAAATAAACAAACAAAACTTAGCCAAGTGTGGTGATGTCACTGGTAGAGGGTCGTGACTGCAAGTTATTGAGGTTCTTGGTGTTTTGAACAAAGAATGGGACAAAAACGCCCAGCAAAGCAAAGAAAGAATGAAGCATCAAAAGAACGAAAGCAGGTATTTATCGAAAATGAAAGTACACTCCAGTGTGGCCGCAGACCCCAGCAGCGGCTCAAGAGCCCAGCTACAGAATCGTCTCGGGTCCAAATACCCTCTAGAAGTTTCCCATTGGCTGCTTCATGCTCACCTCATGTAAATGAAGTAGTAGCCCACAATCAGTCTGATTGGTTGCAGAAAGCAGCCAACCAGAGGCTGAAGTGAAGTTACAAAGGTCACACACCTGTGCAAACATTGGTTGCAAAAACAATCAGGGGTTAGGGTGAAGTAAAGTTATACTTCTATGCAAATGAAGACTTGGCCTGCAATCAGTCTGATTGGTTGTGGACAGCAACCATTCAGAGGCTGGAGTGAAGTTACAAAGTTGCAAACGAAGACGGGACCCTCATTCAGTCTGATTTATTGCAGACAGCCAATTTTCCATCTGCTCTGCAGAAAAGGTCAAAGGGACCAGTAGCCTCTGGTCCTTTTGTTACTTAGGAGTGGAAAGTTAGGGTTTTCCTTTTGATTTAGTTCTAGGAAGTCGGTATGAAACATTTAGGTTTTTTGCCTCCAGACCCTATTTCTCCTGCCTCAGTGGCACATGCCTGTAGTCCCAGCTACTGGAGAGGCTGAGGTGGGAGGATCCGTTGAGCCCAGGAGTTTGAGGCTGCAGTGAGCTATAGTCGCACCACTGCACTCCAGCCTGGGCAACAGAGTGAGATCCTGTCTCTCAAAAAGAAAAAAAAAAGTGAGTTAATGTAGGGCTGAAAATTGTGCATGTCTCTGGTTCCTCATGGGAATTGGCGCCATTTCACTTAAGGCCAGTGCATAATAAGGGCTAAAAGACTAAAGACTATTGGGCATCTGTTGCGTGCCAGGCCTTGAGAGAAGTATGTTACCTCTGTTAGTTTATTTAATTCTGTAACACCCCCATGAGGGAGGCCACATCATTATTCACATTTTGCAGGCGGAGAAACTGAGGATCATAGAGATTAAGAGACTTCAATATGATCACAGCAAAGAATAAGCAGTGCAGGTGGAAACTGACACCGGTGCATTTGTAGGAATTAAGCATTTTCTCCTGCATCTCCTGCCCACAGCACAGACTGGGTCTCGGGGCTAATTAGACATGAAAAAACAGCATTTCCTGTTGGGGCTGATGCACTAGGAAGCAAAGGGTTTTGATGAAACAAACAAACAAACAAAGAACAAAATTGAACCGCCATCCTCCTGTTTCACTACTCTGAGGCAATATGTGTGGGAACTTTTTCTTCCTTTTCCTTTTTTTTTTGTTTTTGTTTTTTGGTTGAGGTTCTCTGCTCAAATGCACTGGAATTGACAAATTCTAATGATAGTCTATTTTGGAGGGAGTGTTAAATTATTCAGAGGTAGGCACAAATAGCACATCTCTAGCTTCGACTTCGGCTTGAACCTGCAGATGTCAATTTATTGAGCCCTGTGAGGGTCTGCAGAAAATGCCCAGGCCAGAGTGGGGACAGGCGGCAGGGCTTCCATCCACTGCCCAGGAGGCAGGTGCTCGCTGGCTGCTGTCTGGAGTCTGCAACTCCAAACTCTCCACACTTCCTGTCCCCAGGCAGCAGGGTCACTGGACACAGCTTGGCGCCATGGCAACAAAGTCTTTGACTGGGGCTTCTTCTGATTTCTCTTGTTCTCCCTTGCCTGGGTGTCAGTGAGCCTTCCAGGTATGCGATCCATGAGAAGCTGGAACTTCTGCAGTGCACTTATGGTGATCACATTTGGGGTTTTGCATACTTGGAGCTCGGAAACGTCCACATGCACATGAGGGCTTTTTGCAGGATGCTTAAAAAGTGAGGCATGTTGAGATACCTTAAAAATAAGGTCCTCCCATGCCTCTTCACCACTTTCTTTCTTCCTTTTTTTTTTTTGAGATGGAGTCTTGCTCTGTCTCCTAGGCTGGAGTGCAGTGGCGTGATCTCGGCTCACTGCAACCTCTGCCTCCTGGGTTCAAGCAATTCTCCTGCCTCAGCCTCCCAAGTAGCTGGGATTACAGGTGTGCACCACCACGCCTGGCTAATTTTTGTATTTTTAGTAGAGATGGGTTTCACCATGTTGGCCAGGCTAGTCTCGAACTCCTGACCTCAGGTGATTCACCCACCTCCGCCTCCCAAAGTGCTGGGATTACAGGCGTGAGCCACAGGCCCGGCCTTCTCCACCACTTCCTTGTCATCACTCAACTTCTTCTTTCCCAGGGACCTCTTTGCATTTTCTGATAAGGATGTTGCTACAATTCAGAATCCATTCAAGACCGCTGGGATTCTAGGCCTTCCCTGTGGAAATACCTTGAGGGATGGACAGAGCCACAAAGTAGCTGCAACTAGGATGATTATTTAATTTAGGATCCAAACCTGCAAGAGAGCGAAAAGGGGGTGCTTTTTACAAATGACTCCAGGACACCCGGCGTGATCAGGCACTGTCTGGAGCAACTTGGGAAGGTGGCCACTCTGGAAAGAACACAGGCTCTGGAATGAAATGTTTTGCTTAACATTTAAGAACCTCAGCTTTTTCATCAGTTAAACTGACATCTACTTTTCATGGTCCTGTTGGAGTAACATATATGAAGTGCCAGGCACAATTCCTAACACATAAGTGTTCAATATTTATTAGCTCCTTTTCTTTAAAAAGCAAACAACCCCAATAAAAACAACAGCGACAACAAAAACTGCCCTGTACCAAAAAATCATTTCTAGGCTTCCAGCAGGTGGGATTGAGTCCCACCTATTTTCTCAGCCTACCTCTTTACCCAACCATTCGTTCTAATGCAGAGGTGGAATATTGCTTTCCCAGTCAACCATTTCCTTTTCTGCTCAGATGTTTCTGGTCTCTGTATAACAGTATTTCTCAACCTTTTTTTTTTTTTTTTTATTTTGAGACAGGGTCTTGCTCTGTTACCCGGGCTGGAGCACAGTACTGTGATCATTGCTCACTGCAGCCTAGACCTCCCCAGCTCACGTGATCCTCCCACCTCAGCCTCCCAAGTAGCTGGGACCCCTCTCCGCCATCATGAAATTCTAATACTACAGATATACCGTGTATCTTTTTATGTACTGTGGCCCTTGAGAGGCCACAAACCATTGTGATATCTAAGATTGTTTTTCCTTCCCCTCAAAGAGCAGATTATCACCCTTTTCAAAAACCAATTTTCATCCCGTTGGAGGCAATATCCACCCCTTTGAGAACACTTGGCATTCAGCATGAATCTTTCACTCTTCCCGCTTCACCTCAGATTCTCCCGTGTCGGGGGTGTCATACTTCTCAGTTGACAGCTACCTACATGGTGGTGAGGGGAACAACCATGAAAAACAGAGGTACTTTTTGTTGAGCAAGTGCTTCATGGTACATTATCTCTGATCATCACAGCAATGTTGCAAGAAAATTTTCTTTCATGGATGAGAAAACTCAGGCTTGGAGGGATAAGTCACCCATAACTGTGGGGCTGAATGTAAAACAGCGTCTGTCTGATATGAAAATCGAAACCATGACGCCATCCTGCCTGCTCATTCATAAAGGCCAGGGAAAGGTAATAGTAGAAGGAACCAGCGTTTACTGAGCCGTTACTGTGTTTCTGAAACTCTGGTGCTTTGCCTACTTACTTATTTCACATCTCTGCTTTGTGAAGTTTGGGGTATGTGCCTAGTGTTAGAGACAAAAGATGGGTTTGCAGTGATTATTTTTTCAAATTTCACATGGCTAGCAGTTCATGAAGCCTGAATTGTAACCCAGGTCTGCCTCTCCTAAAACTCCTCTCTGTTCATTACAAAACACAGCTCCTAGGAGGAAGTGCTGTTAGCCTTCACCTTGCAGGAGGGCAAGAGAACCACACGATTGCAGCTTTCTCCCACTGCCTCTTCCCCAACACACACACTTGATTTTTTTTTTGGCATGTGTAGATATGAAAATAATATAAAGTTAGATATGAAGATAATATAAACCATAACATTCTGAAAACTTTGTGTACTTTACCACCTTCACAAAGTACTGCCTTCACAGACTCCTAGGGATCTGGGAATCCCAGATTAAATGCCACTGGTCTCTGATATGCCAAAGAGGGGCCTGCTGGAGAGAACTTAGCAGGATGCCATTCAGGTGGGCATACTCAGATGCAGTGTAGCATAGGTATAAACCTCAGATTAGTCGGGAGAGAGCGGCCGACCTCAGCAGGTTGCTGGAAGGTTTGATGTAGGGTTGATGCATCTGACAGCCAGAATGTAAGGGGTCAGTTTGTGGGTGACTTACTCTCTAGGGGCCTTAGGTATATTCTCGGAGAGAGAACCTTTATTTACCCGTGCCCATCCAGCTAGTGGAGAACCAGTGGGAAGGCCCATGCGTCTCGGGTGCTTTGTCCCAGGGAGAGAACTGTGCGGCGGAGTAAGGCTCTTGACTCAGCTGTCTGCAAGCCCTTTACATCTTCATTTCATTACTGGCCTAATTTGCTGAGCCCTGACCTGACAGCCAGGTGGGGCCAACCATTCCATTCACACCCTGGAGCAAGGAAGCTCTAGGTTCCCGTAAGGCAGACTGCCTTTTTAGTTGTCAGCAGATCTGTCTCTTGGGAGCGGGAATGGGGTGGCTTCCTTCCCTCAGGGAGGAGGGGGTGGTGACAGCCGGGTTGACCAGCTCTCCTGCTGTGCCAAGAGGCATCTGAAGGCTGGCACATGGGATCCAGAGGTGGGTGGCAGTGATGAAACAAGAGGGCAAGCAGCTTTGGCAGGAGAAGCAAGAGGGCTCTGGGTAGCCAGCTTATTCCTGCTCTCCTGGTCAATGGCAACTTACCTTGACCGGGATTTTGGCAGATGAAGGAAAAACTATCTGCTCCTGAATGAAAATTTGATCCACGCAGAAGACAACCTGCAGGCAAAGCAAAAGCACTGGTATGTGATTTTTAGGGAAGAGTATGAATGATGCAACTTGTAAACCAGTTATTGGGGTGACTCGTAAGAAGCAGGCAGTCACTGAGCCTCAGTTTCCTCAGCTGGGAGGTGAGAGGGCCAGGTCACATAACCTCCAAATCCCATGTATTTTTTCATGGTTGTATAAATTCTTTAAATGGTTTTATTAAAAACTTAAATACGTCAGTGGAACACTTCTCCAGTCTCCAACTACTAATCACCCCAGTTAATGAGTTGTTTAAGCCACCCTCATATTAGAGTCTACCCACCTCCATTGTTTTAAAAATTGTGTGATTCTAAATGTGAGATGGAAGATGAGGGTGGCTTCAAAGCGTTTACCACAAAGCTATTATTTATTTTTAACTTATAATTATATTTACAATGGATGAAGCAGTTAACAAATCACTAGTGAGTAACTGTGTGTCAGGCATGAGGTGGAAGACAAATTACATGTATATTTACTTTGAGACTCAGAAATCTCACTTATTAGATTTTATTCCAAAACTACAGGACAAAACTAGGAAAATGTGAAATATATATATATATATTTCTCATATATATATATATTTCATATATATATTTCATATATACATATATTTCATATATACATATATATTTCATATATACATATATTTCATATATATATACACACACACACACATTTGCACAGGTTATTAATTGTAGCCAACAGCATTAATTCATCGGAACACATCAAATATGTTTAACCTGTAGGTTTATAATGGTGCTCAGAATAGAACACCTCACTGGTCACTTTTGGAAGATACTAGGAAACCAACTTATTATTTTGAAAACTGGTAAATAAGAAGAGAGAATCAGGTGTTTACTTTGCCTTTCCAATACAAACTATATCTCAGGACAACCAAATGATAGATGAGGGGAATTTGCTCTTTATAGAAGTATTCCAGCTGACAAATGAAAAAACAGTGACAGAATTGGAATTCTGTAATCTGAATTACAGGGTCTAGGCAATAATTGCCAATGAGTGTTAACATCACATGAAGAAAGACAAGATTTTATATGTATCTTGATAGAAGTATCACAACACTACCTATGAAGTAGCCTTGACCCCCAAAACAAGACAAAAACAAAACCCAACAATAACAAAAACCAACCAAAAAAACCCTAACCTGAATCTGAGGCGGAGCATGTCCAATGGAGCTTTCTGCAATGATAGGAATGTTCTGTATCT